>NC_000006.12:49453939-49756969 GCF_000001405.40 Homo sapiens
TATGCATATGGAAGAAATTTTGCTTCAGGTAAGAATTATTCACTTTGTAATTGGTTTTCTTAATGAAAGAATCTCTTCCTATGCCCTTCATTAAATAAAGATTCAATTTATTTAAAAAATGTATATTTTAGGAATACTCAATATGTAAGACAGGAGTCACCTATGAATGAAATAAAACAGCAAATTTGCTTTGTTTAGCCAGAAAAGTGTTTTGTAAAAGAATGATTGTGCATTGGTCTAGGCATATACTTCTCCAATTTGTGCCCTTCACCTCTCCCTTTTATCTTATATTCTGTGCTGATTTAAACATTTAGGTTACTTGCCTGTCTCTAAAGGCACAAAGCTTGCAAATCTACTTCTGACACATTTTTGGAAGTTCTTTTTTTGAGACAGAGTCTTGTTCTATTGCACAGGCTGGAGTGCAATGAAGCAATGTCGGGTCACTGCAACCTCCACTTCCCAGGTTCAAGCGATTCTTGTGCCTCACCCTCCCAAGTAGCTGGAATTACAGACAAGCACCACCATGCCCAGCTAATTTTTGTATTTTTAATAGAGACTGGGTTTCGCCATGTTGGCCAGACTGGTCTTGAATTCCTGGCCTCATGTGATCTGTCCGCCTCGGTCACCCGAAGCACTGGGATTACAGGCATGAGCCACCACACCCAGCCTTGAAAGAAGTTCTTAACACAGCAGTTTTCAAATATTTTGATCTCAGGTTCCCTTTCTACTCTTAAAACTTACTGAAAATTCCAAAGAATTTATTTCTTTATTTGTATAATATCTATCAATATTTTATTTACTAGTTCATTCAAAAGTAACAATAAGGAAGGGCACAGAGGCTACTGCCTAGAATCTCAGCACTTTAGGAGGCCAAGGCAGGAGGATAGCTTGAGCCCAGGAGTTTGATACCAGCTAGGCAACACAGGGAAACCCCATCTCTACAGGAAAACTTAAAACTTAGCCAGGTATGGTGGCACACACCTGTAGTCACAGCTACTTGGGAGCCTGAGGTGGGAGGAACCCTTAAGCCTGGCAGGCTGAGGCTGCAATGAGCAGTGATCATGCCATTGCACTCCAGCATGTGCAACAGAGCAAGATCCTATCTCAATAATCATCAAATCAAATCAAAATAAACCCACAACATGTTAACATTAGTAACATTTCTTATGAAAAATAAGTATGCTTCTTAAAAAAATATATATATATATAATAAAAGCATCATTGTTTTACATTTTTGCAAATCTCTTCAATGTATGGCTTAAGAGAAAACAGCTGGAGTCTCATATCTGTTTCTGCAATCTGTTGCAGTATCACATATCGTGTAGCTTCTGAAAAACATCACTATAAATTCTTGAGAAAATGAAAGTGAAAAAGGCAAATAAAGCTCTAACATAAGCATAAAAACAGTTTTGATCTCAAATACCCCAGAAAGAGTCTTAGCAATGCCCAACTGTTCTTAGACCACACTTTGGGAACTGCTGTCACAGTAAGTACACAAATCCCTGGTACAAAGGAGCATTTCAGTAGTCTATAAACACTAAAGGCAGAAGCTATGTTTTCTACATGTTGTATTGTCAGCATATAGGCTAGTGTTTGGCACAGCAAAGCTTAGCAAGTGATTGCTGTACTGATTGAACCACCGAATGACTTTCGACTTCCAAATTTAAATATTTCATAAACTACATTTAAGTTTTCCCATATTTTTCATACAACATTATTAAGAAACTGTTGTGAAACAAATGTTTCAACAGCACAGTGGATCCCAAAACATTACATTAGATAGTGCAACAGAAAAAAAAATAATAATAGATGAATTCTGTATTCTAAAATGGAAAAATTAGAAAAAACTGTCTCAACATTATGTTTACATTTTAATGTAATTTGTTAAAATGTGGAACTTAATTGTGTTCTCTAAATAGCTGGAGACAAGATATTCCTCAAATTTACAAAGAAGTACAGCCAAATTTAATTCTATTTTTTATTAGAAATATTGGCTTTTTCTCTCATTATCACTCAGATAAAATATAAGAAAATCTAAATCTAGCCTGACATTTATATTTATAAATTCATTTTATCAATATATAAAATGGTCCTATGCATTTCTTAATGTTGAAACAATATCTAGGTTTAATTTACTCACCTTGGTGCAAATTCATCAATTGTCAGGCCAGCCTGGAGTCCAGTTCTAGAGTACTCCAATCCATCTGCTAAAGTATAGGCCAGCTCCAGAATGGCATCAGCCCCTGCTTCCTGCATATGGTATCCACTAATTGAAATTGAATTAAATTTTGGCATGTGCTACATAAAAAAAAAAATTGTAACAGTGAATAAGTAAAAATATTAAAAGGTCCTATTAAATCCACTTTCTAAGCATAAACATTATTTTAAAATGATGTTAAATTCAAATAAACTTGGTAGTTCATAATGTTAACAAAATATTTAATGCTTATTTGTTACATTTAATTTGCTTTCCAATTTAAATGGTTCGTCCATGAACCATCATCAGGACTGTACCTACTTTATTTTTCTGGTGGACAAGAATTTATACTAACCATTCTGAAAGTTTAAATTGTGGAATTAGCTAGCTGAGGTTAGGAATGTAACCTTTGGCCTGAGAACTAAATGAAGCATTTTTAATTCCAAACCAATGACTTGGACCTCATAAGAGGTTGTAGACCCAAACCTTGGGTTAATCTGCTTAAGATGTATAAATTTATTATTATTTACTAGTTATTAATTTTCTAGTTTGAATGAAGGCATCAAACATGAATAAGTACACAGTAGGAAAAAAAATAAAATGATTTGATTCTTAGTACTATATGTTGAAACAAAATGGGATAAAATGCATGGCTTTAAAAATCAAAGATTTCAGTTTGATTTACTGTGACATTTAATACTAAGCATATCCCAGACAGGTTCTTTCCACCACAATCACTACAAAAACTGTATTTCCACTATTCCCCTAAAATTTCATGTTAGGTAGAGTACATCACACATATCCTGCACAGCCAAGAAAAACTATCTTTACCAAGAGTTAACCAAACATAAAATGCTTGCTACACAATGCTTGCTAGAGTTTGGAGATAACAGTAATTACAAGGGTTGATAAAGATAAAAAGGGTTGATGACGATTTTCTCTGTGCCATGAAATAATGATCTAACTTTAACGTAGGTAAGGAGAAGGAGTACGTTGCTGGTAAGAAGCAAAGAGTGAATAATGGGGGGAAATATAAACAAATTGCTCACAGGAAAATGAAGGAGGAAAATGTGTCCCTATGGAAGGATTTTTCCCATCATTCTTATTGGGAAAGATGAGCCTAATTCAAGGGTGAATATTAGGGACCTCCTTGAGGTTGCAGATATGAGTGATAAGTGATATCTTCCAATTCAGCTTTTAGCAGAAATAAAGCTGATATTCCAATCCCCATTTGTCTGATACCAGTGTCTACTTCACAACTGCATCTGAATTTCGGAGGGAAATTTAAAAATGTAAGTAGAAGACCTCCCTGAATCTAACAATTATCAGAGTTAAATTTTAGGAATAAAGAAAACACAGTAAAGATCTGTTGCCCAGATTCCTGCAAGTAACGACAGAACATAAAATTAGTACATTAAAAACAAAAAGTAACAATAACAAAACATTCTAAATTTATATTACTCAGACTAAATTTTTAAATTCAGTTATAGCATGTTGTAAAAATTCCTACATTCAAGGAACTATAGAAAAACCTATAATAACCACAAAGTATACCTTTGCTGTATATTCAAATATGTCAGCAATAATTTTCATGGATGGTTCTGGAGGAAAAATGTATGTATTTCGAACCATAAATTCCTTTAGTATATCATTTTGGATGGTACCAGTAAGCTTCTCTTTAGGTACACCTTGTTCTTCTCCAGTTACTATAAAATTTGCAAGAACTGGAATAACTGCTCCATTCATAGTCATGGAAACTGACATTTTTTCTAAAGGAATTCCATCAAAAAGAATTTTGGTATCTTCCACAGTGTCAATAGCAACTCCAGCCATTCCAACATCACCACGAACTCGAGGGTTGTCTGAATCATAGCCACGATGTGTCGCCAGATCAAAGGCAACTGATAATCCCTGCTGACCAGCTAAATATATAAAGAAAAATAATGTAAGATTCAAGAGTCTGGAATCAAGGTAAAATGATTTACTTTTAACACTACTAAAAATGTTGATTCATCTCATAACAGTACACTTTTATAACAACTATTTTTATGCTCATACATGTCAAAACCAACTTAAATAAAGATACTTCACTTCTTAAGAGAGTCAGTTGTTTCCCTTGTGCCAAAATGCACAAATTTAGTTCCAGACCTCACTAAAGGAAAGAATGGGAGAAACAACAAATCTCAATCATCTCGTATCTATCTGAAGATATGGTACTTGATTGAAATATTTCTAAAATTCATGAAAAGATCTGGCTGTTCATATATGGCAAAAATAACTTAGCATTTGTATGCTTGCTTACTATTTTGTTCTTTTATCTAATATGGTCACAAAGGATTCCTGGCTATTCAAATATTCTGGAAAACAGAATTATGACCATCGTACAAAATTTTTAAATAACTAAAATAGTCTATACTAAATGTAAGTTCAACCTTCCATGGGCAATACAAACTTATAAATCTACAAGTTTAGTATTCAAACAGTACAATTTTATTACAGCTCAGAAAGAAGAAATAATAGTTAAGATAATTTTCAGTGAATGAATGCCAGGTTGCACTGAATATGTTTGTACCACGTTATCACATTTACACTTTCTTTGGGCATCATCTAAACTATCTTCCTCTCCAATCGCTATCCCAACAATGTTAATTGAACATTTTTCGAAGGCAAAGCTAATGTCTTCTTTTCTTCATGCAACTTTACCTCACCTAATTCCTTTTAAACAACGTGCATGTGTTGTTTTCTTTCAAAAATTTAGCACCTTATTCTAATTCACTTATCTTTTTGACCACAGAAGTTAAAAAAATCCACTTTTTTCAGAGTATAGTCTTTAACTACAAAATTATAGAGTGAATATCATCTTTACAGAGATTAACCCCCAAAAAATAAAAAACTAGGAGGCATATGACTTATCATAAATATTATGTCTTACATTAAAATCTCACCCTTAATGTTGTCCTTATAGAACTTATTGCTTTCTTCCACAGTACTAAAACCAGCATACTGGCGGATGGTCCAGGGCCTAAAGGTATACATGGTAGGATATGGTCCACGTGTGAATGGCTTCACTCCTGGAAGTTCTTCAGGTAAGTCCATAGTATCTCTCTTGGAATACAAGGGTTTTATAGAGATCCCTTCCGGGGTGTGCCATATTAGGTCTTCTGGGTTTTTGCCTTTCAGCTGCTTTTTAGCCAGGGCAGCCCATTCTGGGTGAAGGGGCTGTTGCTGGTGTAGAAGTCGTTGCTGTATGAGCCTGGAGCCTGATGATTCTTTTACCTGCCTCAGGTAATGAGGTGAAAGTAAAAAAAGCTGATTCTTAGCTCTTAACATGGTGGAGCATGGAAACACCCAATAGAAATAAGAACTGACCTAGAAAAAGAAACATAGAGTAAAAACATTTAGAAGAGGGGGTGGGAAATAGGAGCTACTCATAAGAAAGGAACAGAAAAGAAAGAGGATGTATTAGTCTGATTTCATTTCTTCCCCTTTTCTGCTTCCTGCACCTGATATTTTATAACTTTGGCCCCTCTTCTTCACAATTACTATCAGTCCTGTAGTTTCAGTCTTTTTCCTCAGTAGCCTCTTAGCTGGTCTTACTGACCAGTCTTACTCCTTTTCTACTCCATTCTATACGAATCCCTTCCATACAATGACATCAATGTAAATATGACTATGTCACACTCCTCATGGAATTTTTCAAAGACTCTGTATCATGTGGAAGATATACTACAGCCTCCTAATTAATTTTTTCATTCAAAGTGCTTTTATTAAATATCAGTTTATGACCGACATTATGTTGGGTAATAGAGAAAAAAGTGATGAATAAGACAAACAGGCATTCAAGGCCTTCATGAACTGGTCTCTGTTTCCCCCTCAGACCCATCTCTGTCTTTGTCCTCTTTATGCATTTTGTGCACTAGAAATACTGGATTACCTACAGTTGGCTGCACATATGTCAAAGTTTTCTGAATTTGCTCTTGCTCTTCCTTCTGCCTAAAATGTTCTTCTCTGGCTAATTCAGCTAAGGCATTATCTCCAATTTGCAGCGTTTCTATGTGCCAGTAACATAGAAGGCTATAAAGACATCACAGAGAGTAGCAATTTTAATCTTTACAATACCCCTAAGAGGTAGGTACTATTATTATCCTTATTTTACAGATTAGGAAACTGAGGCACAGAAGAGCCAGCATTGATTGGAACCTATGCAGCCTGTTTCAAAGTCCTTGCATTTAACTAATATGCACACAATTCATCCCAGAACCCATAAGGTGAGCTAAATGGCCTCTTCAATAATCTACTTCTGTGCTAGTTTATAAACTGCTCCAACATTAGAGCTGCATATTCCGGATAACTAGCATAGACTTTTATACTAGGTTGCTGGGTTCAGCGTCATCATTTTCCAGATGTAGAAACTGAGGCTCAGAGAAATAAAGTCGCTTGATCAAAATCCCACCTCACAAAGCCGTAAACTGTTTACCTGAATTACTAAAACTTGTCAGAGTCATACAGCGTAAACATATAGAGCCCATTGTTTAAAAAGATATTGAGATGCAAACATTAATATATTCACTATACTATGTGTTTTATACTGGATAAGGCAACAAGTAAAGGGAGTTTCAAATTTTATTTTCCATACCACTTCTTACCTATCAGTTTAGTAAAGCTTAAATGAAATCAATACTCAACACTTATTATGGGGTCGTTAAACAAGAGACATAAACCACTGGTGACAGTATTAACTATTTTAACTACTTTGGAAAGTAAATTGTCAATATACATGAAATGCTTCAGAAATGTTTATGCCATTCCACTGAGGAACATTACTCCTGGGAAAGCTTCTGTAGTAATATATAAAATAGATGTTTCCTATAGTTTTATTTGTAATAGAGAAAACTTAGGAAAATCGTAAGTATCTCATAACATATGAATAAGTGAATTACAGCATATACAAATGATAGAATTTCATGTAGTTATCAAAATATGTTTAGAAAGCTGGCAAAACTAATCTTTGATGTCAGAAGTCAGAAGAATGGTTACTTAATGGTTGCTAGAATACAACAGGAGCAAGAGAGGGGCTTTTGGGGGTAATGGTCTTGATCTGATTGCCACTTACATAGATATATTCTGTTTGTGGAAATTCATCAAATTATACAGTTATGTTTTATGCAGTTTCTGTAAATATATGTATAAGTAAAAAGTTAAAAATGTGTTATGCATAGTTTCCCAAAAAAAGAGAAACAAACTCAAAAAGTAGTAAGTAAAAGACTCAAGACACGTAATTGTAAGTGCAACAGGTTCAACTATGTAAAAAGTACATAGAACAAAGTCTAAATGGAAACATAACAAAAAAGGCTGGGCATGGTGGTTCACGCCTGGAATCCCAGCACTTCAGGAGGCCGAGGCAGGTGGATCACCTGAGGTCAGGGGTTCAAGACCAGCCTGGCCAACACGGTGAAACCCAGTCTCTACTAAAAATACAAAAATTAGCTGGGCATGGTGGCGCACACCAGTAATCCCAGGTACTCAGGAGGCTGAGGCATGAGAATCACTTCAACCCGGGAAGCAGAGGTTGCAGTGAGCAGAGATCGTGCCACTGCACTCCAACCTGGGCAACAGAGAGAGACCCCGTCTCAAAACAAAACAAAAAAACCTTCCATTTTTTTAATACTAGCACGATTTTTATTCTTTAAATCCATGGGGTCCTTGTCATCCATCTTTTTGCAAGCCATCCACTACATTTACTAGCTTAAAAGGTGGATGAAAAAAATAATGAAGCAACAACTAAACTGTTTCAATAGTAATCCTGTAAAAGGTAATTTGAAAACCACCTGAGACTAAACTGTTGGCAGGAAATATCACACTCATTTCACGTGGGCTTTCCTAAATCTGAACAACTAATAGGAAAGAGCCCCGTTTAAGTGACTTCCTGAAAATCACATGTGAATTGGTGGAGGCTGGAAACAGACACCATTTTTAGATAAAAACACAACTACTGCGGATGGCAATACGACCTCTGAATTTTCTCAGAAGACCATCAAGAGAGGCCTCAAGCATTCAAAGAAGCAACATGCAAAGCAAATATGTTACTGACAACTAAAATGAGTTAAAGAGCAATGATTAATCCCACCCCCACACCTCAAAAACAAATCAGTGAGAAAAAGATTTCTTGAACCAATAAGTTTCAAGCTTTGGCTGCTGACGTATGATTGCACATTAATACTTCAAGAAGGTACTTTGATGTTCAACTAGTTGGGTTTGGAGATGGAAACATAGGGCATGAAAATTATATTTGATATTAGCATAAGTACATCATTAAACACAAAATTATATTGGCAGAAAATCATCAAGTGGTTTAAAACTTTACACACATACGTTATCCAGGGCTTCGAGCTTCCCTAAGACCACCTTCTTTCTAGATAAAACTGAGAACGAGTTAGTAATGTAAGCTTTTATGTCAATTTAGACCTGTCTTTTCTATTCTACCTCTCACTCTTAACACTGTTTACACTCTTAATCCTGTTTACACACAGAAAATCACTTTTATTCCCGAAAACTCTTAGAAAAACCCTGACAATAACATAACCCACAACCTAGAAGGGAGGCAGCCATGAAGCAGGCGCATCCCTTTGGAACCATACAAAAAGTGACCTCTGCCAACGGGAACAGTTCAGGGTGCTTAAGTGGCCAAAGAAGATACCGACATGGCCCCTAAAGTATTAAAAGCACCTTCTTTCCAGAAGTACCTCCGAATTGCCAGGGACTTCGCCCAAAACTAGAGGTTGGTCGAAGTGAAAATCTAAACCTAAGGAGAAGGCAGAGAGTGGGATCCCGTCACAGTAGGAAGGTAAAGAAGACAGAAGTAAAGGACAGAGCGGGAGAGAAAGGACAAAAGTTCAAAATACAGGGGTAGAGGAGGGACAGGAGCCAGAAGAATGGAGCGATCTGAAAGGTGTACGTCCTACTCACTGGTAGGCCTGTTTTGGACTCCGCTGTGGGAGAGGGCGGCTGCACTTCTGCGTCCCCCGCCTCACCTGTCAGACATCCACACAGCCAGGCCTCCCCGCCCTCACCAAGCCCACACAAACCGCGCCACCGCCAGCGTCAGCCGGACGACTCTGGGGGCGTAGGCCGACACCGCCCTCCCTCCAGCCAATCTAATAGCGCTCTCATGGGCGCATTCCTGATGACGTTTAGGGGTAGGGTTAGATGCCCGTTTCCGCTTTCTTCCCACCCACTTCCGGGTCTCCTCTGTTTACGAATGTTTGGGCGCGAATTACTCTAAGCGCGGCTCTCAGAAGGGTGCAAGAAGAATCAGTGGTGAGTCGTGATATCCTTAACCGGCTGGGTGGATCTAAAGTTCAGGGATGAGTTTTAAAGCCAACGCGTTTGTGGCAGACTCCGCAGTTTGCATTTGAGGATAGCGAGGGGGGATTGCTTACGGGGAAATGCCCGATGTCCTAAAAGATCTGCCCTTAGGATCCTGAGATTGAGATGTTTGATTAGGGGGGAGGGAGCAAAGCCATGAATACTTCCTATTTCTCCCGAATCATCCTCATGGCTCATCCTCATTGCTAAATTTCTCCCGCGGGCACTAGTGAAGTCAAGTGCAGCCTTGGACATTAGTGTCTGTGTTTCTCCAGGAGTCCTACTCACTCTTGTGCCCACATAGAGGTCTAAATTGAGGTAATTGAGTCCCATGAGTATCAACAAGCTGGTAAGAAAAACAAGACAACCTAGAATGCCTCCCTCTCTCCTAAAGCATATAGTCTGGCGGCAAACTACTGTACCAGCCTTATTTCTTTTCACTTCTCCTATACACATTAAAAGCCTCGCTGGATTATCCTGTCCCTGAACACGCCAGGTTTTTTGTGTTTTTTCCGAGCTTTCCTGCCGTCCGAGTTTTACTGTTTTCCCTTGGATGCTTCATTTTTCTACTTTTTGGCTAAATATTTCAAAATGTTATTAGAATAATACTTTTTCTATGAATAATGTACAAACATACTTCCGAGATATTGCGGGGTCGGTTCCAGACCAATAAAGCCTGTCACACGATTTTTTTGGTTTCCCAGTGCATATAACAGTTGTATTTACACTGTATTGTAACCTATTAAGTGTGCAATAGCATTATGTGTAAAAAAAAATTACATGCTGTAATTTTAAAATATTTTATTGCTAAAAAATGCTACTAATCATCTCAGCCTTCAGCAAGTCCTAATCTTTTTGCTGGTGGAGGGTCTTGCTTGATGTTGATGGCTGTTGACCAATCAGGGTGATGGTTGCTGAAGATTGGAGTTGCTGTGGCAGTTTCTTAAAATAACAAAATAATGAATTTTGTACAGCAGTTGACTCTTCCATTCACTAAAGATTTCTCTGTAGCATGTGATGCTGTTTGAAAGCATTTTACCCACTGTAGAACTTCTTTCAAAATTAGAGTAAATCCTCTTAACCCCTACCATTGCTTTAGCAACTAAGGTTTTGTGATATTCTGAATTCTTTGTTGATATTTCAAGAATATTCACAGCATCTTCACCAGGGGTAGATTCCATCTCAAGAACTTCGCTCATTCATAAGAAGCAACTTCTTTTCCACTAGTTTTATCATGAGATTGCAGCAATTCAGGTACATCTTCAGGCTCCACTATTTCTCTTGCTATTGCCACCAGATCTTTCATCACTTCCTCCACTGAAGTCTTGAACAAAGTCATGACCTTTACAAAGTCATCCATGAGGGTTGGAATCAACTTTTTCCAGACTCCTGTTAATGTTGATATTTTGACCTCCTCCCGTGAATCATGAATGTTCTTACTAGCATTTGGGATGGTGAATCATTTCCAGAAGTTTTCAATTTATTTTGCCCAGATCCATCAGAGGAATCACTGTCTAGGGCAGCTATAGCTTTACAAAATGTATTTCTTAAATAATATAACTTGAAAGTCAAAATTATTCTTTGATTCATGGGCTGCAGAATGGATGTTGTGTTAGCAGACATGAAAACAGCATTAATCTCCTTGTACATCTCTATCAGAGCTCTTGGGTGACCAAGTACGTGGTCATTGAGCAGTATTATTTTGAAAGGAATCTTTTTGTGAGCTGTAGGTCTCAAAGATGGGCTTAAAATACTCAGTAAACCGTGCTGTAAACAGATGTGCTGTCACTCATGCTTTGTTCTTCCATTTCCAGAGCACAGACAGAGTAGATTTAAAAGAATAAGAGCCCTAGGATATTTCAGAATGGTCAATGAGCATTGGCTTCAAGTCACCACCCATATTAGCCCCTACAAGAGAGTCAGCCTGTCTTTTGAAGCTTTGAAGCCAGGCAATGACTTCTTTCTAGATATGAAAGTCCTAGATAGCATCTTCCAATAGAAGGCTGTTTTGTCTTCATTGAAAATCTGTTGTTTAGTGTAGCCCCTTCATCAATTATCTTACCTAGAACTGGATAACTTGCTGCAGCTTCTGCATCAGCACTTGCTGCTTCACTTTGTACTTTCATGTTATGCAGATAGCTTACTTCCTTAAACCTCAGGAACCAAGCTCTGCTAGCTTCAGGCTCTTTTGCTACAGCTTTCTCACCTCTCTCAGCTTTCATAGAATTGAAGTGAGTTAAGACCTTGCCATGAATTCGTCTTTGGTTTAAGGGCGTGTTGTGGCTAGTTTGATCTTCAATCCCGGACCACTCAAACTTTCTCCCTATCAGTAATAAGGCTGTTTTTGCTTTCTTATCATTCATGTCTTCACTGGAATAGCACTTTAAATTTCCTTCAAGAACTTTTCCTTTGCATTCACAGCTTGGCTAACTGGTGTAGTTTCCAGCCTATCTTGGCTTTTGACATGCCTACCTCACCTTGCTTAAACATTTCTAGCTTTTAATTTAAAGTGAGAGAGGTGTGATTTTTGCTTTCACTTGAACACTTAGAGGCCATTGTAGGGTTATTAAATGGCCTAATTTCAATATCATTGTGTCTCAGGGAATAGGGAGGCCTAAGGAGAGGGAGAGAGGCAGGGAACAGCCAGTTGGTGGAGCAGTCAAAACACAACGCAACATTTACCTATTAAGTTCTCTGTCTGATATTGGCATGGTTCATGGTGCCCTAAAACAATTACAGAGTAACATCAATCACCATAACAGATATAATAATGAAAAGGTTTGAAATATTGTGAGAGTTATCAAAATATGACACAGAAATGTGAAGAGTGAGCACAATCTGTTGGAAAAATGGCATCAATATAGTTGTTCAGTGCAGGCTTGCCACAAACCTTTAGTTTGTAAGACAACAACAACAAAATACAGTGTCTGCGAGGCTCAATAAAGTGAAACACAATAAAAAGAGTTATGCCTGTACATTCTTACCCATAGCACAAACCAGTTTAAGACAGTCATTCGCTCACTTGCCTCTTTATAACATTTATAAATACACATAGTAATTATTTTCATATCTGTCTCTACCTGTGCACTATCACTAAGCTGTGGTTTCCCTTGGATCTAAGAATGGGACAAAATACCTATTCATTTTTATATGCACTGTGAGTAGCCCAGAAGTGATAGAAACAATGTCTTTTGTTTATTGGATTCTTACTATGTCTCAAATACCGTTCTAGGTGGTTTATATATTCTTTGTTACATCATTTTTGCTTTACAAAAGCCTTTAATGTTAGTACTTTTATTAATCGTTTTACTAATGGGGAAAATGAGTTAATTTACTGGCCCAAAGATATACAGTTAATTAAGTGGCAGGGCTAGATTTGGAGCTTGAACAATTTACCCTCGTTGCAGGACTGCTCTTAACCATTATGGTAGTGTTCTCAACCTGGGTTGATTTTGACCCAGGAGACATTTGGCAATGTCTGGAAACAATTTTGATTGGCTCTACTCAGGGGTTGGAAGTATTCTAGCATCTGACGGTCTACGTAGACCCAAGCATGCTGCTAAACATCCTACAATACACACCACAGTCTCCACAACAAAGAATGATCCATCTAAAATGTTAATAGTGCTGAGGTTGAGAAACTTTGTGCTATAGTCTAGTGCCTCAAGTAGGTTTCATTGTTAACAGTACTTCTCAAACTCTGTTAGACCAGTTTTGCTTTTTATTTCTAATCAGTCATAACTGATACTTTTGTAAAATGCAATTAAAAATCAATTATTAGTCAAACTCCCTTGTGGTATAATACCAGGAGTGAACTCTGATGTAAACAATGGATTTTGGGTAATATGATGTGTCAACAATTACAGCAAATGTACCAGTTTGGTGTGTGATGTTAATACTAGAGGTTGCAGGGAATGGGGAAGGGCAGGGATTATATAAGAAGTTTCTGTATGTTTTGCTCAATTTTCTGTAAACCTAAAACTGTTCTGAAAAAAGTCTTTTTTAAAAAAATACTAATTACTAGAAAATGATATGGCAAAGACAAGGCTAATTATTTTATGATAAGGTTCAATGTGCATAAAATTACTCTATCAAATTGCTACAAAAGTTTCTAAATGATTACCTTCAATTTCCACACTTGATTATGGCAAACAGTTTGAATGAGATTTGGAGTAGCGCTAAATTACATGTTATTTTAATAAAGAATATCAAGAAGAAAATGATTAATGGACCCAAGCTATAAATAAGTACCAAATGAGACAGAGCAAAAGAGCCACAGACTTAGAGAGAAATGAAGTAGAATAGTTAGGAAGATTTTGAAAAGAAGGTGGCTCATGATCTGAGAGGGTGGGCAGAGACAGAAGAGAGCTGCTCAGGTAGAAGGTACAGTGTATGTTTGGGAGGCAGAATTACTCAAAGTGTGTTCAGGAAATCATCAAATCTAGCTAGAGAGGGAGATTTGATTAAGGAGTAGTAGGAGAGAAGTATGAAAAGGTAGGCAGAGTTAGGTTGGTAAGGACTAAAAATGGCATGGTAAAGAGTTTGAATGTTACACAGAACGTATTGGGGTAAATTTTTTACTCAATTAATTTGTTCCAAAATTTGGGATTGGGAGGGACTAGGCAGGGCTTGCTCATGTCTTGTCCACACAGTGTGGGCTGCAGCATATTGACTTAGGTACATGTACCAGACTGGCCAGTTGGTGCTGGCTCTTGGCTGGGAGCTCAGCTAAGACTTTCCTGGGGTTTCAGTTCCTCTCGGTGTTGGCCTTCCTCCTATGGTGGTGGCTGGGTTATAAGAGCAAGTGTTGGCCGGGCTCAGTGGCTCACGCCTGTAATCTCAGCGCTTTGGGAGACCGAGGCAGGAGGATCACTTGAGGTCAGGAGTTCGAGACCGGCCTGAACAACATGGTGAAACCCCGTCTCTACTAAAAATACAGAAAATTAGCTGGGCGTGGTGGGGGGTGCCTGTAGTCCCAGCTACTTGGAAGGCTGAGGCAGGAGAATCGCTTAAACCTGGGAGGCAGAGGTTGCAGCAGTGAGCCGAGATCGCACCACTGCACTCCAGCCCAAGCGACAGTGCAAGACTTCTTAAAAAAAAAGCAAGTGTTTCTAAGCAAGAAGAAGTCAAAGTTGCCAGTCTCTTCATGTCTAAGCCAGTAAGCTAGAACAGAATCACTTCTACTATATTCTACTGCTCAAACAGCTTCAGAGTCTGCCAAGATTTAAGACAAGGGAACATAGACCTTACTGCTCATTAACAATCATGAGAAGGAATGTGTACCATTTTTAATCTAAAATCTCAGCTGTTACTTGTCCCTTCACCTGGATGCTCTTATTCAGTGAACAACTTGAACTATTGTACATGTCAGCCCTTCCAGGAGAGATCTACAAGTGAAATTCTGTCATGTGGATGGGTTTTTAAGTAGGGGAAGTATAAGGGTGTAGATGTAAAGTTGAGGTAATTAGGCATTTTAGAAATTGAACACAAGATAGAGAATGAGTGTTTGGTAAGGTATCACATTGTTCAAGAGCAGGGTAAAGTGATATTTTGACTTCCACTGCTTTTTGTAACTGGTGTGATATGTGGTTGCTAAATGTAGTTTGTGATCTTTCTGTTAATTCTTTCCCAATTTTTTTTCCAGTCTTGTGTGGAGGGGAGTTTGAAGCTTTTAACGTTTGAGAGGATAGATTTATCATTGTCTTTCTCTAAATCTGCACATATATTTAAACTGTATCAGTATAATAATTCTGAATGTTTAGAAAATAAATGATGAATAATTTATCTGTATATCTAGCTATGGCTAATATGTGTATATGTTTATATGTGTATATATATATTTTCTAGGCATATATAGCTAATATGTGCATATACATATTTCCTTGTATACTGCACCTAACTTCTATCCACTTCTTATGGTGTAATGCAAGAATAAGTATTTCATTCTTCTGTTCCTTTTATCAGAAATTAGTTTGGTAATAAAAGAGGGAAAATTACTCTAAATTTTATCAACATCCCCATTTCCAATCCCATGTCTGTTTTGTAATTTGTGGGAGGGCAGGGTATTCAGTACATTTCTGTACTCTTGTTAAAATGCACATAGCCCAGATAGGATTGCAGTTTAAATTCTTAATAGTGTCAGACTAACACATGAATTTCCACATAGATTGATGGTATAATCCTAAAAAGTGTCTCCTTCCATTTTTGGCAAAAATTGGGTAATGGTAAATTTATTACTTAAAATAACAAGACCTAGGCTTTACTCCTTGAACTGACATTATCTGTGACTACTTTATATTTCTATTTCCTTGGACTTAAACATGGAGAGGATGTTATCATACGATAGAGTATAAAATAAGAGATACAAAAGCATTTTTAAATGATTTTCTAAAATCCATACAAACGGAAGTTAATTTCTAGGAATGAAATTGAATTAGATATCCTTATTCTGATAAGAGTGAAAATTATTTCTTTTAAAAAATGCTTGTTTAAAAGCATACAATACTATCCCCAAACTTTTATTATGATTTTTCTTTAAAAAAAAAAAAAAAGAGAATGTGGAACATTTACAGGATAGTTTTTTAAACAAAACATTGTGCAAGGCTTTAGCTTTTTTTGTATTATTTTCATCTTTACAGATTTTTTTTTTTTTCGAAGCACTGTGTTTAGATCAAGATGTCTGGTAAAGCAAATGCTTCCAAGAAAAACGCTCAACAGTTAAAAAGAAATCCAAAGAGAAAAAAGGATAATGAGGAAGTTGTGTTGTCAGAGAATAAGGTAATGAAAATATCAAGTTTCTCATTTAGAAATCTTCAACTGTGGCCAAGCACTATGGCTCATGCCTGTAATCCCAGCACTTTGGGAGGCCGAGGTGGGTGGATCACGAGGTCAGGAGATCGAAACCATCCTGGCTAACATGATGAAACCCCGTCTCTACTTAAAAAAAACAAAAAAAAAAATACAAAAAATTAGCCAGGCGTGGTGGTGCACACCTGTAATCTCAGCTACTCGGGAGGAGGTTGAAGCAGCAGAATTGCTTGAACCCGGGAGGCAGAGGTTGCAGTGAACCGAGTTTGTGCCACTGCACTCCAGCCTGGGCAAAAAGAGTGAGACTCCGTCTCAAAAAAAAAAAAAAAAAAAAAAAAGTTTCAGGTTTTACCCTACTCATTAGGCAATGCCTATATTTGTATATAACATTATTTCTTAGGCAAAGTGAGTAATAATTCATTTAAAACATTCTTTGACACTGTATAAAATTCTGTTATTATCATCATTGTCAAGAATTGCTTTAGTATGTCCTCTCTGTGATAAATATACACCATTTTTCTTTAGAAGTAGCAACATACATTTTTTCTATGTACTAGAAATTATATGAATACTCTTTGACATATATAAAAATCTATTGTAAAAGCAGGATCCTTTTATCTGATGTTTAATTCTGTTTATGTTTATGCATGTGTTTTTCCCTCTAGGTTAGAAACACAGTGAAAAAAAATAAAAATCATCTGAAAGATCTGTCTTCTGAAGGTATTTCTTTTCTATTACCTTGTTTAACCTGCTTCTATATCAAGCTATATCTACATTCGTGAAAAAATGTTCAGCATCTTGTTTATGAGTTCTGCAAAAGATAGTAATAAACAACTACATTTGCATTTTTGTAAGAATATGTAGTAGTGGTTAGTTATTTTGGTCAACTGAAATTTTACTTAGCACCTCTGACGAAATACTGTAGAGGCTTCAATGCCACTGAGTTGATAGGAAATAGAGAAACTCAAAGTGGCCCACAGCCTGAATTATTAGTGATCTGTGATATAAATACAAATGTACTAATTTTTCTTCAAGACAAATATGCTTTCTGTTCTGTATAGATTAGTTTGGAACCATTATTATAAGTTTGTTTGGAGTAAACTAGTTTAGAGTAGTTGCCTTTGCTTAAACATCACTGTTTCATGGAAGGATTCTCTACGTCTCCTCAGCCAACACTAGGTTAGGTCCTCTGGTTTTATACTGCCATAGTGTACAATACTTTTTTTTCCTTTTGTATGCTTTGCACACCTATAATTTGTTCAATATCCCTTCTCTCCAACACTCATTTTCATGAGATCCAGTACTATTTCTTCTTTTTTTTAATACCTAATAAGTAGAACAGTACCAACAGCATAGTTGACACTATCTATTTGTGGTTTGATTAGTCTGTTTTGTTCCAGTTGCCATCCAACATTTGGAAAATAGTTTCCTGGTCCTCTCAATGAAATGTTTAAAGAATTTAGGCCATTTCTGAGAATGAAACTTTTCATAATTAAAGTTTGATTCTTCATTTAAAATTATTTCTATTATCACTTGGTAGTATTTCTGTTAACTTATCAATAGAAAGCATATTCATATTCAACACCTGGGATGTTACAGCTGTGTGATAAAAAGTAAATTAAACAGTTTATACAGCTTTATAATATTTTGTTCTGATAATTTCATAAGCTTTTTTAGATGAAAACATTCCATTTTTAAGCAAAAACATGTAAAACATCTAGATTGATCAGAGCCTCTTCTATTACTAACGACAGGACAAACAAAGCACACTAACCTAAAACACGGAAAGACAGCAGCCAGCAAGAGAAAAACCTGGCAACCTCTGTCAAAGAGTACCAGAGACCATTTGCAAACTATGATGGAATCAGTAATAATGTGAGTATAAAATTGTTCCATTTCATTCTTTTGGTTCCCATTTAGGTGTTTCCTATGGATATTATTCTTTTAAATATTGCTATCTATTTTAAGGTAATAGAGTATATTTCTATTTCGGAAGCAGATAAAATTAATGTGACGGTATTTGCCTTCAGCAGAAAAGTCTTTGTTAATTTTAGAAACCTGAAATTCCATCGGTGAAATAAAAGCAAGTGTTTGTGGCCTGACTTGCTATCAATAAAATTTTAATTTTTGTCAATAGAGATTCTTTAGGAAGAAGTTGAGTTCAAAGTGACACTTTACATAGAAGCTACCACACTGGAGGGGATACAGAGAAAATAAGACAGAATTCTGCCATTGTGGAGCAAATTCTATCAGAAGAGCCAGGCATGTAACTTATTACAATACAGTGTGGCAAAATATATATATAAGAAGAATTTTTTCATTGTACTTCTGTTTAAAGTGTCTTTAATATGAAAGGAAAAGTGATTGATTTTGCCTGGCTAGTGGGGAGGGGTACTTGAGAGAAATCAGAGAGAAAAAGTACAAAGAGTATATGATTTGTGCATCAGACTACTATTTATTCCATCTTTTTTTCTTTTCTAGGACAATTTTGAGTAACAGTATTAAAGAAAAAGAAGAAATACAATACCATCTCAACTTCCTGAAGAAAAGGTAATACTATTGCATAATTAAAATGATTAAAACATAATTTTTAAAAACCTGACTTCTTTCTATGTTGCCAAATAGACACTTGTGGAATGTAAGTTTTTCTTTTTTTTTAGAGAAGGTGAACAACTTGGAAGTATGTTTTCTCTTTTTTCTAAACTGCTGCTCCACATGTTTCTCAAATAAGTTTCAGGGGAACTTACAAAAAAAACCCTGAAAATCACGAAATTCTGTTTCCACAGTTCACTCTTCCATATCAGAATTTGAAAACAGTTTTGTCAACTTGAACTCCCTTCAACTTCATTTTTAATAATTTGAAGTTAATAGTTCACAACTCTTATCTATCTGATATTTACCCTATTGCTGTGTTTTTCCACTTCATATTGTCTTAAATTATTTGCATGAGCAACAAGTATAATTTTCTAAGATATTATTGCTCTTCATCTTATGGTAAATCACCAATGGAGATTTCTTCTCAGGAGTTCTTAAAAGGCACACCACTGCCTGTGATTTTCAATAATTACTTTTCTCTAGTATTTACACAACTTTTTCTTTTTATAAGAAACTAAGCTTCATAAGTGAAGGAGAAATAAAATCCTTTACAGACAAGCAAATGCTGAGAGATTTTGTCACCACCAGGCCTGCCCTAAAAGAGCTTCTGAAGGAAGCACTAAACATGGAAAGGAAAAACCGGTACCAGCCACTGCAAAAACATGCCAAATTGTAAAGACCATCGATGCTAGGAAGAAACTGCATCAACTAACGAGCAAAATAACCAGCTAATATCATAATGACAGGATCAAATTCACACATAACAATATTAACCTTAAATGTAAATGGGCTAAATGCTCCAGTTAAAAGACACAGACTGGCAAATTGGATAGAGTCAAAACCCATCAGTGTGCTGTATTCAGGAGACCCATCTCATGTGCAGAGATACGCATAGGCTCAAAATACAGGGATGGAGAAAGATCTACCAAGCAAATGGAAAACAAAAAAAGGCAGGGGTTGCAATCCTAGTCTCTGATAAAACAGACTTTAAACCAACAAAGATCAAAAGAGACAAAGAAGACCGTTAATAATAGTAAAGGGATCAATTCAACAAGAAGAGCTAACTATCCTAAACATATATGCACCTAATACAGGAGCACCCAGATTCATAAAGCAAGTCCTTAGAGACCTACAAAGAGACTTAGGCTCCCACATAATAATAATGGGAGACTTTAACACCCCACTGTCAACACTAGACAGACCAATGAGACAGAAAATTAACAAGGATATACAGTAATTGAACTCAGCTCTGCACCAAGCAGACCTAATAGACATCTAAAGAACTCTCCACCCCAATCAACAGAATATATATTCTTCTAAGCACCACATTGCACTTATTCCAAAATTGACCACATAGTTGGAAGTGAAGCACTCCTCAGCAAATGCAAAAGAACAGAAATTATAACAAACTGTCTCTCAGACCACAGTGCAATCAAACTAGAACTCAGGATTAAGAAACTCACTCAAAACCACTCAACTACATGGAAACTGAACAACCTGCTCCTGAATGACTACTGGGTACATAACGAAATGAAGGCAGAAATAAAGATGTTCTTTGAAACCAACGAGAACAAAGACACAACATACCAGAATCTCTGCGACACATTTAAAGCAGTGTGTAGAGGGAAATTTATAGCACTAAATGCCCACAAGAGAAAGCAGGAAAAATTGACACCCTAACATCACAATTAAAAGAACTAGAGAAGCAAGAGCAAACACTTTCAAAAGCTAGCAGAAGGCAAGAAATAACTAAGATCAGAGCAGAACTAAAGGAGATAGAGACACAAAAAACCCTTCAAAAAATCAGTGAATCCAGGAGCTGATTTTTTGAAAAGATCAACAAAATTGATAGACCACTAGCAAGACTAATAAGAAAAGAGAGAAGAATCAAATAGATGCAATAAAAAACTGATAAAAGGGATATCACCACTGATCCCACAGAGATACAAACTACCATCAGAGAATACTATAAACACCTCTACGCAAATAAAATAGAAAATCTAGAAGAAATGGATAAATTCCTGGACACATACACCTCCCAAGACTAAACAGGGAAGAAGTTGAATCCCTGAATAGACCAATAACAGGCTCTGAAATGGAGGCAATAATTAATAGCCTACCAACCAAAAAAAGTCCAGGACCAGACAGATTCACAGCCGAATTCTACCAGAGATACAAGGAGGAGCTGGAACCATTCCTTCTGAAACTATTCCAATCAATAGAAAAAGAGGGAATTTTAGACCGATATCCCTGATGAACATTGATGCAGAAATCCTCAATAAAATACTGGCAAACCAAATCCAGCAGCACATCAAAAAGCTTATCCACCATGATCAAGTGGGCTTCATCCCTGGGATGCAAGTCTGGTTCAACATCAATAAACGTAATCCAGCATATAAACCAAACCAAAAACAAAAACCACATGATTATCTCACTAGATGCAGAAAAGGCCTTTGACAAAATTCAACAACCCTTCATGCTAAAAACTCTAAATAAATTAGGTATTGAGGGGATGTATCTGAAAATAATAAGAGCTTTTTATGACAAATCCACAGCCAATGTCATACTGAATGGGCAAAAACTGGAAGCATTCCCTTTGAAAACTGGCACAAGACAGGGATGCCCTCTCTCACCAATCCTATTCAACATAGTGTTGGAAGTTCTGGCCAGGGCAATCAGGCAGGAGAAAGAAATAAAGGGTATTCAATTAGGAAAAGAGGAAGTCAAATTGTCCCTGTTTGCAGATGACATGATTGTATATCTAGAAAACCCCATTGTCTCAGCCCAAAATCTCCTTAAGCTGATAAGCAACTTCAGCAAAATCTCAGGATACAAAATCAATGTGCAAAAATCACAAGCATTCTTATACACCAATAACAGACAAACAGAGAGCCAAATCATGAGTGAACTCCCATTCACAATTGCTTCAAAGAGAATAAAATACCTAGGAATCCACCTTACAAGGGACGTGAAGGACCTCTTCAAGGAGAACTACAAACCACTGCTCAACGAAATAAAAGAGGATACAAACAAATGGAAGAACATTCCATGCTCATGGATGGGAAGAATCAATATCGTGAAAATGGCCATACTGCCCAAGGTAATTTATAGATTCAGTGCCATCCCCATCAAGCTACCAATGACTTTCTTCACAGAATTGGAAAAAAAAAACTAAAGTTCATATGGAACCAAAAAAGGGCCCGCATTGCCAAGACAATCCTAAGCAAAAAGAACAAAGCTGGAGGCATCACACTACCTGACTTCAAACTATATAAAAAGGCTATAGTAAACAAAACACCATGGTACTGGTACCAAAACAGAGATAGAGACCAATGGAACAGAACAGAGCCCTCAGAAATAATACCACACATCTACAACCATCTGATCTTTGACAAACCTGACAAAAACAAGCAATGGGGAAAGGATTCCTATTTAATAAATGGTGCTGGGAAAACTGGCTAGCCATATGTAGAAAGCTGAAACTGGATCCCTTCCTTATACCTTATACAAAAATTAATTCAAGGTGGATTAAAGACTTAAATGTTAGAACTAAAACCATAAAAACCCTAGAAGAAAACATAGGCAATACCATTCAGGACATAGGCATGGGCAAGGATTTCATGTCCGAAACACCAAAAGCAATGACAACAAAAGCCAAAATTGACAAATGGGATCTAATTAAACTAAAGAGCTTCTGCACATCAAAAGAAACTACCATCAGAGTGAACAGGCATCCTACAGAATGGGAGAAAATTTTTGCAATCTACTCATCTGACAAAGGGCTAATATCCAGAATCTACAATGAACTCAAACAAATTTACAAGAAAAAAACAACCCTATCACAAAGTGGGCAAAGGATATGAACAGACACTTCTCAAAAGAAGACATTTATGCAGCCAACAGACACATGAAAAAATGTTCATCATCACTGGCCATCAGAGAAACGCAAATCAAAACCACAATGAGATACCATCTCACACCAGTTAGAATGGCGATCATTAAAAAGTCAGGAAACAACAGGTGCTGGAGAGGACATGCAGAAATAGGAACACTTTTACACTGTTGGTGGGACTGTAAACTAGTTCAACCATTGTGGAAGACAGTGTGGCGATTCCTCAAGGATCTAGAACTAGAAATACCATTTGATCTAGCCATCCCATTACTGGGTATATACTCAAAGGATTATAAGTCATGCTACTATAAAGACACATGAACATGTGTGTTTACTGCGGCACTATTCACAATAGCAAAGACTTGGAACCAACCCAAATGTCCATCAATGATAGACTGGATTAAGAAAATGTGGCACATATACACCATGGAATACTATGCAGCCATAAGAAAGGATGAGTTCATGTCCTTTGTAGGGACATGGATGAAGCTGGAAACCATCATTCTCAGCAAACTATCACAAGGATGAAAAACCAAACACCGCATATTCTCACTCATAGGTGTGAATTGAACAATGAGAACACCTGGGCACAGGAAGGGGATCATCACACACCGGGGCCTGTCATGGGGTGGGGGGAGGGGGAGGGATAGAATTAGGAGATATACCTAATGCTAAATGAGTTAATGGGTACAGCACACCACATGGCACATGTATACATATGTAACAAACCTGCACAGTTGTGCACATGTACCCTAGAACTTAAAGTATAATAAAAAAAAAAAAAAGAAAATGTTCTGTTTCTCAGTTTCAAGTTTGCCTAGAAATATTTGTGACCTATTTTAAGGAATTCTTTTGAGTACAAATTCTATTTAGTTTTTCTTTAAATATAATTTTCAACCCACAATAGCCAAGTAGAAAGAGTGAATCAGATGGGTTGGGTCAGGGTGGGAGTTTGCTGAGAAAGGTTTAACAAATTAAAAACTGCTAGAAGCAGGCTTGTAAATTGCTTAAAGGTATAGCAGCCTATTATTAAAGAAGGAAGAAGATATTAAAAAGATAATAAGCTAATACAAGTATAATGAAAATGTAGCTGTTTAGGATCTTTTTAATATAGAACAAATACTAATGTTTAGTTTATGAATGTGACTATTACATAATAGTTGCTGTTCATAGTGATCACCTTGGTTCATTGGAAAAGATTATATTCAACAGATAGGCAGTCTCTTTGTCATGTAACAGCTATGGAGTACATACATTTCAAGGCCTGACTATTTCCTCCTTATTTTTACTTTCACAGCTTGCTTTCTTTAGTTCCTGAAGTCACCATACCCAAGATACAGTTACTTCTACCAATACAACAAAGTACAACATTAGCAAACTGATCCTAATTGGAACTCTAAATACATTTTTCTGTAGCAGTGTTTCTGAAAGTATATTTGAAACACTTGTTCTTACAGATAGTCTATGGATAAAAGTAACCTATGGTGAATTATATTTGGGTACCTTAGCATGTAAGAAGCCCTGCAGTAAATAAATCTATTTCATTTTCTTTAAGCTAGCATCTCCCAAATTGCTATTTCTGGGAACTCATTTTCATATAAATCTATTTCATTTTCTTTAACCTAGCATCTCCCAAATTGATATTTCTGGGAAGTCATTTTCATATATTAGTCTCATCTCTGCTTTTGACTAAACGTTAGCTTCATTATTTTCATTTTTTAGTTTTCAGTTCTTACTAGATTACAGCTATAGTCATAGGCAGCTTCCTGTGTATATCATTTTAGCCTGGCGAAGAAAGAGGAAAAAGACGATTCTTACCCCTTAGCTTCAGTTAGAAAATTCTAGGAGATGGTTTCTGATTTGCTGAGCTTAGGTGATATACACCTATTCTTGGCGTGATTTTGTGACAAGAGCTACCATGGATATGATTGATATAGACTGGATTATATACCTAGCCCCATGATTACACAGACAAGTTTGCTAGGCAAACAAAACTATTCGCCATTACAATTCTAAAGGAACATACTTCCAGAAAGTCTGCCCTATAGAAACAATGTTATAAGTGGTGATTAAATGTTGCTGATATAATAGGATATATTCAAGCCATGGTTTTAGTTTCTAAGAGTTAGTGAGACTCTTGGAAATCTAACTGCTATTTAGAACATTTGGAGCAGTGAATGACTCTTCCACATAATTGGTTTAATAAACATATAGAAGAAACTTCATAATTAAAATATTTTTGTTAAGAAAATAAAAAACTTATTCCTCTTAGGAAAGCTTAGGCAGATAGTTTGTGTTTAAATGTGATAGCCTAATGATGATTTTTCTAAATAACTAGAGTTTGTCTTAACAGTTTAATGAGAATTATGATTTGTGGGGTTTTTGCTGCCTACTTTTTTCTTTACAAAAATTAAAATTTTATTTGCAAACAATGCATCAAACAAAGGTCTGTATCAAGACTCTATTAGAAACTTAAACAAATTAGCAAGCAAAAAACCAACAATCCTATTAAAAAGTGGGCAAAGGACATGAACAGACACTTTTCAAAAGAAAACATACATGCGGCCAACAAACATGAAAAAAATGCTCTCAACATCACTAATTACTAGAGAAATGCAAATGAAAACCACAATGAGATACCATCTTAAACCAGTCAAAATGGCTGTTATTAAAAAGTCAAAAAGTAACAGATGCTGGGAGGTTGCCAAGAAAAGGGAATGCTTATAAACTTCTAGTGGGAATGTAAATTAGTTCAACCATTGTGGAAAGCAGTTTGGCAGATTCTCAACTTAAAACAGAACTACCATCCAACCCAGCAATCCCATTAGTGGGTATATACCTGAAGGAATATAAATTGTTATAAAGACACATGCACACTTATGTTTACCACAGAACTATTCACAATTGCAAAGACATAGAATCAACCTAAAGGCCTATCAGTGGTAGATTAGATAAAGAAAATGTAGTACATATAAAACTTGGAATGCTATGCAGCCATAAAAGAATGAGATCATGTCCTTTGCAGCAACACGGTTGGAGCTAGAGGTCATTATCCTAAGCAAACTAACACAGGAACAGAAAACCACATAGTGCATTTTCTCACAAGTGGGAGCTAAACATTGAATATATATGGACACAAAGAAGGGAACAAAGATACCAGGGCCTACTTGCGGGAGGAGAGTGAGGGTTGAGAAACTACCTATCAGGTACTATGCTTATTACCTGGGTGAAAAAATAATCTGTACACCAAAGCCCCACAACATTTGCCTACATAACCTGCATATGTATTCCTGAATCTAAAATAAAAGATTTTTTTTTAATTAAGATTTTTAACCAGATCCCAAAAGTGGGATAGTGGGTTCCACTATTGTTCAGATTTCTTCAAATCTTAAGTAGTAGAACTTTTTAGAACCCAAAGATACTGCTGTTATAAAGGGAATCAAATTTAGCTTTTCCTCCTCATAAAATTCAAGAATCAAATCTGGGAAAGCTATTTTGCAGTCTGCCAGATGTGATGATAGAAATAGATGTTTCTACTGGTGATCAACTCAAATTTGTAAAAGAATTTTTTAACTTTAATATTAAATGCCATTCATGTTTATAGAATTTTTGAGCAATGCACTTTGATCTTAGTGTTTTATTTGCCTTAAACTCTATAGAACTCAGTTTTCTTTGAAATCATTTAGAATAACTAATGTAAATCTTCTCTATTTTTGATCACATTCTCTAAAATAATTGAGATTTGGGGTCCAGGGTCATAGTTAAGACTTCTAGACTAGTGTTCTGTCTCTCAACCAATAATTCACAATGTATAATAGACTCATGTAGTGTAATAGTCTAGAAAACATCTGGATGATAAAAGGAAATTTTGGTTTTAAAATGTATATAAATTGTCAAATGTGTAAGATAGAAAATTTGCTTTTAGTAAAGTAGCCCCAGTGTCCCTTAATTTGAGGTAAATCTTAATAAATTGAAAGGCTAAATGATGATTTGTCAGGGCTTTTAGAGGGGGAGATTTACTGGCAATGTTACCCAGTGGTAATAAAAGAATATTGTACCCTTAAGAATATGAGGACAAGAAAAAATGAGGACTGTTTTAAAATAATAATAGTACTCAAAAATAAACAAAATAATTGTTTTTATTTTATCCTTAAGATTGCTACAACAGTGTGAAACTCTGAAAGTCCCTCCCAAAAAGATGGAAGATTTAACTAATGTATCAAGTCTACTGAATATGGAAAGGGCACGAGACAAAGCTAATGAAGAAGGTCTGGCATTACTACAGGTATGAAATTTGAATAGGGAATCCATAATTAGAGAGTTAGGGAAAGGGAAGAAGACCAAAGTTTTTAAAATTATCATGATGTTCTTCCAGTAGTGAATACTAGATCTTGAACCAGGTTTTTTCATTAAATTGTTTTTTTGTTGTTGTTTTCATTAAAGCAAAAATTTGTCTGAACTTGGCACCTCTAAAGTTGAAGTATTTCTAATATATTTGTGGTTAAGTAGTGTGTCCGGAATTGGTGGGTTCTTGGTCTCACTGACTTCAAGAATGAAGCTGCGGACCCTCGTGGTGAGTGTTACAGTTCTTAAAGGTGACGTGTCTGGAATTTGTTCCTCCCGGTGGGTTTCTGGTCTCACTGGCTCAGGAGTGAAGCTGCAGACCTTCGCGGTGAGTGTTACAGCTCATAAAGGCAGTGTGGACCCAAAGAGTGAGCAGTAGCAAGATTTATTGCAAAGAGCGAAAGAACAAAGCTTCCACAGCATGGAAGGGGACCCGAGAGGGTTGCCACTGCTGGCTCAGGCAGCCTGCTTTTATTATCTTAACTGGCCCCACCCACATCCTGCTGATTGGTAGAGCCGAGTGGTCTGTTTTGACAGGGCGCTGATTGGTGTATTTACAATCCCTGAGCTAGACACAAAGGTTCTCCACGTCCCCACCAGACTCAGGAGCCCAGTTGGCTTCACCCAGTGGAGCCCACACTGGGGCTGCAGGTGGAGCTGCCTGCCAGTCCCACACCGTGTGCCAGCACTCCTCAGCCCTTGGGTGGTCGATGGGACTGGGCGCCATGGAGCAGGGGGCAGCACTCATCGGGGAGGCTTGGGCTGCACAGGAGCCCACGGAGGAGGGAGGCTCAGGCATGGCGGGCTGCAGGTCCTGAGCCCTGCCCCACAGGGAGGCAGCTAAGGCCCGGCGACAAATTGAGCGCAGGGCCGGTGGGCCGGCACTGCTGGGGGACCCAGTACACCCCCCGCAGCCGCTGGCTTGGGTGCTAAGCCCTTCATTGCCTGGGGCTGGCAGGGCCAGCCAGCTGCTCCGAGTGTGGGGCCTGCCAAGCCCACACCCACCGGAACTCCAGCTGGCCCGCAAGCACCGCGCGCAGCCCCGGTTCCCGCTCGCACCTCTCCCTCCACACCTCCCTGCAAGCTGAGGGAGCCAGCTCCGGCCTTGGCCAGCCCAGAAAGGGGCTCCCACAGTGCAGCGGTGGGCTGAAGGGCTCCTCAAGTGCCACCAAAGTGGGAGCCCAGGCAGAGGAGGCGCCGAGAGTGAGCGAGGGCTGCAAGGGCTGCCAGCACGCTGTCACCTCTCAATCCCCCCTCTAAACAGGACATCCCAACTGCTGTTGGGAATTTGCCTGATGACCACTCTAGCTACTTCCTGCTGGATGGGGCGATGAAGGGGCCCTGGAGTTGTAGTGTCCTCCAGAGGGGAGGTCTCTAGGCCAGGGAAAGTGCCAGTGGGTCGGTCCAGGGGTCCTCAGTAGAAGTTGTTAGTTGAACTCCTTTGGGATTCTATTTGTAAGACCATCTGTAGCTTGATGGCCTCGATTTACTCAGTGATAGGCAATGGTCTCACTGCTCGGCGATTGGCGATGGTCTCACCGCTCGGCGATTGTCTCACCGCTTGGCGATAGGCGAAGGTCCCTTTGTGGTCGCCAAAATGTGTCTGGAGTTGGTGGGTTCTTGGTCTCACTGACTTCAAGAATGAAGCCACAGACCCTCGTGGTGAGTGTTACAGTTCTTAAAGGCAGCGTTTCCGGAGTTTGTTCCTCCCAGTGGGTTCGTGGTCTCGCTGGCTCAGGAGTGAAGCTGCAGACCTTCGCGGTGAGTGTTACAGCTCATAAAGGCAGCGTGGACCCAAAGAGTGAGCAGTAGCAAGATTTATTGCAAAGAGCAAAAGAACAAAGCTTCCATAGTGTGGAAGGGGACCCAAGCGGGTTGCCACTGCTGGCTCAGGCAGCCTGCTTTTAGTCTCTTGTCTGGCCCCACCCACATCCTGCTGATTGGTAGAGCCGAGTGGTCTGTTTTGACAGGGCACTGATTGGTGTATTTATAATCCCTGAGAGCTAGACACAAAGGTTCTCCACGTCCCCACCAGAGTAGCTAGATACGGAGTGTAGAATGGTGCATTCACAAACCCTGAGCTAGACACAGGGTGCTGATTGGTGTGTTTACAAACCTTGAGCTAGATACAGAGTGCAGATTGGTGTATTTACAATCCCTTAGCTAGACATAAAGGTTCTCCAAGTCCCCACCAGACTCAGGAGCCCAGCTGGCTTCACCCAGTGGATCCCACACTGGGGCTGCAGGTGGAGCTGCCTGCCAGTCCTGTGCTGTGCGCCCGCACTCCTCAGCCCTTGGGTGGTCGATGGGACTGGGCACTGTGGAGCAGGGGGCGGCGCTCATGGGGGAGGCTCCTGCTGCACAGGAACCCTCTGAGGGGGGAGGCTCAGGCATGTCGGGCTGCAGGTCCCAAGCCCTGCCCCACAGGGAGGCAGCTAAGGCCCAGCGAGAAATCGAGCAGTGCCGGTGGGCTGGCACTGCTGGGGGACCCAGTACACCCTCCACAGCCGCTGGCTTGGGTGCTAAGCCCCTCATTGCCCAGGGCTGGCAGGGCCAGCCAGCTGCTCCAAGTGTGGGGCCTGCTAAACCCACGCCCACCTGGAACTACAGCTGACCTGCAAGCACCGGGCGCAGCCCCGGTTCCCGCTCGCGCCTCTCCCTCCACACCTCCCTGCAAGCTGAGGGAGCCAGCTCCAGCCTTGGCCAGCCCAGAAAGGGGCTCCCACAGTGCAGCAGTGGGCTGAAGGGCTCCTCAAGTGCCGCCAAAGTGGGAGCCCAGGCAGAGGAGGCGCCAGGAGTGAGCAAGGGCTGCAAGGGCTGCCAGCACACTGTCACCTGTCAGTAGCAGTCCTATTTTTTCATCAGATTTTAACTGAACTATCTTAGTATTTTTAATTATCAATTTAGAGGAGCTTATCACTAAATACTGTGGAATTTTAAAACGTGGAAATTTTTCTGACCTGTGTATGGCAAGAAAACACAATTATCATTAGAGTTAATATATACTGGGGACTTCCTACACTCCAGACACTGTTCTAAGCACTTTATAGTTATATCCCTTAATCCTCACAATGACTTAGAGTATGACCTAAATTATTCTGTTTTTATAAATGTGATAAAAAGACATAATGCTATTTCTAACTGAACCTTAGACAAGTTGCTTAAAGTTGAGATGCTAACTTTGTCATTCTGACAGTAGCACATGATTCTTGATCACTATGTTGTATGGCATCCTGTGGAAGATAATAGGAGATAACCTTATCTATCATGGTTAACTTCCAGCTTTTAATGAATGGATATCCAAACAACTAAGTCAAAGCAACCTTGAGGAGCTTATTAGATAATTATAAAAACTAACACATATGGGACCGTATCTCTTAGACATTTTGAAGTAGTTTGTAGATGTGGTGCATAGATTTTAGTTGCAATTTATTAAGTACAAGGTGGTAGTAGTTTCTGAAGGAATATATTCCCAAAATTTATAATAATTCAAAGGTAACAATTCATTCCCATTTTTCCATAGGATTGAGAATAAAGTTGAAGGAACAATTTCTGAGCACAAATCTATATGTATTTTTAGCTAATAGGGCGGCATTTTTTGGTGGCTGCCTCACTTTATTCAAACTGTGGTATTATATTTTATTTCCATCCCAAGGTTCCTACTTTTTTAGGGCATCTTTTCAGTATTGGCACTAGCTTCATCACCTAAACACTTAGATGACGTTTATTTAGGTTATTTTAAAAGGTTTGAAAGTATAATCATGGAGAATTTTAACATTTAGTATTTATGCACATCAGTTAAGGGTGTTCTGAAGTCATAAATGATAGTGTGATTTTTATGCTACTGGTAAGCATTTCTGGCCTCCAGCTGAAATTTGACCTCCATGGGACATAAGCATAATTACAATCTATAATTTGCTTGTTAGTCACTCAGAAGAAGCACCGCTGGCATTTGGGGCAGGAGAGTTCTCCATTGGCATAAGAAGATCTTTGGACTAGCAGCTTGTAAACTCTATCTGTATTCATTAGTTTTCTCCTCTGTGCCTTAGAACCATTGCTTTTTCTCACTGCAGCCTAGAGTCATTGCTGGTGATGATCTTCCAAAACCTGTAATAGTAACAGAAATTTTATTCATTTAACATTTTCATCGTGCTCTCACTCAGTAATGGTGCTGGGGAAACAACAATGGTGAACACCATCTCGGAGATTCTGGGAGGATGGCATTAGAACAGCTGAAGCATAATTTTTTAGACTCCCTTGATCTTGTCATAAAAATGGAGCCATAGGATTTCAGAATCAGAGTTAGCATAAGAAAATATGACAATAAAGACCAAAAATAACATTCCTGATACACCGAAAGCATACCAAAAAGACACGTGCCTAGAACAGATAAACATTAACCTAATTTATCAAGTGAACTGAAATAAATTCAGAAAAAATGATAGAAAGTATAGGGGAAAAATTATAAATCAGAATTAGAAATACTGATAAATGTAAGTAGAGAATTCAAGAATGAATGAGACATAAAAGAGAAAACCTTGCAGATATGTAGACTAAATTAGAAGAAACACTAAAGCAAATAAACAACAGATAATGCTTATGGTAAATAGAAGATAAAGAGAAAATTTTCAGAATCATAAAAACATTTTTAAAAGGAATTGAGAAAAAAAAAACCTCAAAGAAGATACCATATGAGTATGGTAGTAATACCCAAAGATAACCAAAGCAATGGAACAAAATAAATTTTATAATGAGAAATTTTAATCCTTGTTATATTTAACCCTTTTGTTCATTCAATGCTGTTATACATTCCCTTTGTAGTGGGTTGAATCTAGGAAAAGGGTCTTGTCCAATATAATTAAGGATCTCAAGATGAAGCATCCTGTATCGTCACGGGTACGTCCTAAATCCAATGACAAGTGTTCTTATAAAAGACAAGAGAAGGCACAAAGACAAAGAAAAAGCCACGTGAAACACAATAGAAGGCATAAATAAAAAGCCACGTGAAAGCAAAGGCAGAAACTAGAGCAATGCAGCTACAAAGAATGCTGACAGCTACCAAAAGCTGAAAAAGACAAGAAACCATTCTCCTCTCTTGTCTTCAGAGGGATTGTGGCCCTGCCAACACCTTGATTTTGTACTTCTGTCCTCCAGAACCATGACAGAATGAATTTCTGTTATTTTAAGCCAAGTAGGTGGTACAGCAGCCACGGGAAACTAATATATGTGGTTTGCTTTATATTTATGTTGGACAGCATTCTCTTAGATCCTACAACCAATTCACAGAAAACACAGGGCTGAGGAACCAGTTAAACTTCACCAGGGAATACAGTTCACAAAATTTAGCCCATGGGAAATTCCACAGAGTAAACTATCTAATCTCCACAAATAAATTGAAATGGAAGCCTTCTATGGATGAAAAGAGACTCAGACATATCAACCAGTCACAACCAGTTTGGAACCTGATTAAAACAAAATGTAAAAAAAAAACTCCAATTTATGAGAAAATTGAAAATGTGAACACTAACCATATGTTTGATATTAAGGAATTTATTGAGATTTTTTTAAAGTGTAGTAATGATATTGTACTCTTATGTATCTTTAAATCCTTTAGAGCTGTATACTGAAATATTTATAGATAAAATGATAGGATATCTAGGATTTGAAATAGCACAGGGGAAGCAGGAGAAGCAGATGGAGTTAAAGGTGTGACAGGATGGCCATGGGCCAGGCGTGGTGGCTCACGCCTGTAATCCCAGCACTTTTGGAGGCTGAGGCTGGTGGATAACCAGAGGTCAGGAGTTCAAGACCAGCCTGGCCAACATGGTGAAACCCTGTCTCTACTTACAATACAGAAAAAAAAATTATCTGGGCATAGTGGCAGGTGCCTGTAGTCCCAGCTACTTGGGAGGCTGAGGCATGAGAATCACTTGAACCTGGGAGGCAGAGGTTGCAGTGAGCCAAAATAGTGCCATTGCACTCTAGCCTGGGCAACAAGAGCAAAACTCCATCTCAAAAAAAAAAAAAAAATAAAAAAAATAAAAACAGAGTCTGTTCCTCCATGGAGTTTAGATTCAAGTGAATAGAGCTCACAGTCCCAAAATCTTAGGCATTCAGAGAACAGCACATTCCCAGTAAGGGGCCAGACAACATTTTAGCCTTTATGGACCACATGTGGTTGACTGTTTTGTTGCATATCCTTTTGTTTTGTTGAGGTTTTGACCAATCTTTTAAAATGTACAAACAATTCACAGTTCTTGAACTGTACAAAAACATCCCATGGGCAATTGCTGACCCCTGCAGCTACCCTTTCTTAAAAAAAAAAAAAAGTCATTTAGAAGCCAAAATATATTTCTTGAGGAAGACTACTCTCCCAGCAATAGTTCTGCATCCAGTATTTGGAAAAGACATAGATATAGCATCAACTTTATTGCTGAACAAGATTTAAGAGTTATTACTTATGTATATTTTCTGTGTGGCTTATTTACTTGTTCCCCAAAGCATACAGGCAATGTTATCATTGACTGTTGCTAGGACCATATTTGAAAGCAGTGCCATGTTTAATACCCTTTAGAAACCTGGAGGCTTGCTAATTTTAATTTTATACTTGGCCTGCACACAACACATCCTTGATGTGTTGTCCCCATACTTGTTTTATTCATTTCTTATTTTCTTTTCATCTTCCTCTCTAAATTATGTATTCCTTTAATGTGGGAAACTGTTACTCTTTTTTTTTATTCTCCCTGCTCTAATGCCCAACATTACTTCCTTTTGACAAATTAAAATAGCAGGCTCTTAAATGTTCCTAAATAAATGAAAACAATTCAGAATTTCTCCACTACATGAAGTTTTATGCTGCTTAAGGAAGGTTGCTGTATTTGTTGTCATCAGTTCTGGGCTCTGCTAGATTTACACTTGGATCTTCCAGGATCTCTGACCCTACCAGCATTGGTACGTTTTGAGGAAGTGTTCATGTACATCTCCTTATTCCAGGGAAATTAGATATCCTTATAACACATTAATACCTTGACATACCAGCTTTCCAAGAAGTCTCTTTTTTGAAAGAAACAAAAGTAAATTCACCAGTTGCTTCTAAAAATGTTTTAAATATATATGGTGTTTTTTTAAAATGTGTATGTATAACAATATCTATTAGGATTTAATATAATAATGTGTTTAAGTTAAAATGTTTTTTTTCTCTTTCTGACTCAGGAAGAAATAGATAAAATGGTAGAGACCACAGAGTTAATGACTGGGAATATTCAGAGCCTAAAGAACAAAATTCAGATTCTGGCAAGTGAGGTGGAAGAAGAAGAGGAGAGAGTAAAACAGGTAATTATTTTAAACTGTATTATTGGAATTTGGATATAATTTTTAATGGTTAAATTATGCAAAGATAACTTTCGAGTATAATATGATGAGAGAAATCAGCTTTTTGAAATAATCTGTAGCTTTCTTCTACTTTAGATGCATCAAATAAATAGTAGTGGAGTACTCTCTCTTCCGGAACTTTCTCAGAAAACTCTCAAAGCACCCACACTTCAGGTAAGTGCCTATTTACCATATTGATTACAGGCATACTTTAGAGATGTTGCAAATTTGGATTCAGACCACAGCAAAAAAGCAAATACTGCAATAACGCAAGTCACACAAATGTTTTGGTTTCCCACGGCATATGGAAGTTATGTTTACGCTATACTGTAGTCTAGTAAGTGTGAAAAAGCATTATTTCTTTTTTTTTTTTTTAAAGGGACATACCTTAATTTAGAAAACGCTTTACTGCTAAAAAATGTTAACAATCATCTGCACCTTCAGCAGGTCGTAATCTTTTTGCCAGTGGAGGGTCTTGCCTCAATGTTGATGGCTGCTGACTGATAGCGTGGTGATTACTGAAGGTTGGGATGCATGTGGCAATTTCTTAAAATAAGAAGACAATGAAATTTGCCACATCAGTTGATTCTTCCTTTCACGAAAGTTTTCCCTGTAGCATGTGATGCTGTTTCATAGCATTTTACCCACAGTAGAACCTCCTTCAAAATTGGAGTCAGTTCTCTCATTCCTTGTCACAGCTTTGTCAGCTAAGTTTTTGTCATATACTATATCCTTCATTGATATTTCAACTATGTTCATAACATCTTCATCATGAATAGATTCCATCTCAAGAAACCACTTTCTTTGCTCATCCATAAGAAGTAACTCCTCGTCCATCCAATTTTTATCATGAGATTGCAGCAATTCAGGTACATCTTCAGGCTCCACTTCTAATTCTGGTTCTCTTGCTGTTTCCACCACATCTTCAGTCACTTCCTCCACTAAAGTCTTGAACTTCTCAAAGTCATCCATGAGGATTCAAAATTGAATCCATTTTTTCTAAACTCCTGTTATTGGTATTTTGACTTCCTCTTGTGAATCATGAATGCTCTTACTGACATCTAGAATGATAAATTTATTTTAATATGTTTACAATTTATTTTGCCCAGATCCATCAGAGAAATCACTACCTAGGGCAGCTATAGCCTTATGAAATGTATTTCTTAAGTGATAAGACTTGAAAATTGAAATGACTCTTTGATTCAGAGGCTGCAGAACAGATGTGTTAGCAGATGTGAAAACAACATTAATCTCCTTGTATATCTTCATCAGAGCTCTTGGGTAACTGTGAACATTTTCAATGAGCAGTAATATTTTCAAAGGAATCTTCTTTTCTGAGCAGTAGCTCTTAACAGTGGGCTTAAAATATTCAGTAAGCCATGCTCTAAACAGTTGTACTGTCATCCAGGCTTTGTTGTTCCATTTACAGAGCACAGACAACACAGATGTAGTTGATTTAGTAGAATTAAGGACCCTGGGATTTTCAGAATGATCAGTGAGCATTGGCTTCAACTTCATGTCACCAGCTGCATTAGCCCCTAACAAGAGCCTAACAAAAGCATCTCCTTTAAAGCTTTGAAGCCAGGCATTGCCTTCTCTTTTCCAACTATCAAAGTCCTAGAGATAGCATCTTCTTCCAATAGAATGCTGTTTTATTTACATTGAAAATATGTTGTTTACTATAGCCACCTTCACCAGTGATCTTAGCTAGCTAGGTCTTCTGGGTAACTAGCTGTAATTTTTCTATCAGCACTTGCTGCTTCACCTTGCACTTTTTATGTTATAAACACAGCTTCTTTCCTTAAACCTTATGAACTAACTTCTGCTAGCTTCAAACTTTTCTTCTGCAACTTCCTCACCTCTGTCAGCCTTCATAGACTTGAAAACAGTTAGGGCCTTGCTGTGGATTAGGATTTGGTTTAAGGGAATGTCGTGGCTGGTTTGATCTTCCATCCAGACCACTCAGACTTCCCATATCAACAATAAGGCTGTTTTGCTTTCTCATTATTCATGTATTCACTGAAGTAGCACTTTAAATTTTCTTCAAGAACTTTTCCTTTGCATTCACAACTTGGGCGTTTGGCACAAGAGGCCTAGCTTTTGGTTTGCGTGGCTTTTGATAGGCCTTCCTCACTAAACTTAGTAATCTCTAGTTTTTGATTTAAAGTAAGAGACATGATTCTTCTTTTCACCTGAACACTTAGAGGCCATTGTAGCATTATTAACTGGCCTAATTTCAATATCGTTGTGTCACAGGGAATAGGGAGGCCCAAGGAGAGGGAGAGAAACTGGGAAATAAATGGCCGGTTGGTGGAGCCGTCAGAACACATAACAATTACCAATTCAGTTCACTGTTTGATATGGTTGCAGTTATGGCACCCAGAACAATTACAGCAGTTCCATCAAAGAACACTGGGCATAGATCACCATAACAGATACCGTAATAATTTTTAAAGTTTGAACTATTACAAGAATTACCAAAATGTGATGTAGAGATACAAAGTGAGCATGTGCTTTTGGAAAAATGGTGCTGATAGACCTCCTTTGCACAGAGTTGCCACAAACCTTCAGTTTGTAAAAAATGCAGTGTCTGGGAACACGGTAAAATGAGGCATCCTGGTATATCATAGACCAATTATACATTACATATATGAAAACATTATGTCCTATTTCGTTCTTTAAACAAATGGAACCTGATATAAACTGTTTGGCAAATTACTTTTCTCATTCGACTGTATAGTTTGAACATCTTGTCAGTCACGTAGATCTCTCATTTTTGTTGATAGCTATGTAACATTCTGTTGTATGGAGGTCATATAATTTGTAAATTACTGATGGAAATACATAATTTTTTTAATACAGGTAAGACTGGGTACACCCTTGTACATATGTCTTTACTGATTTGTATAGTCATAATTGTAGGATACATTTCTAGAAGTAAATACTGACAGTTTGGTTTTTTTAATGCTTCTAACAATAGCATATAACTCCTTATAAAATAGTACTGTCTTATTTGTAGTAAACTATTTCTTCCAAGGGCTCTAGTAGACATTGTAGTATAAATGTTTGTAGCATTGGAAAGTCTTCATGTTTTCTCAAGAAGTAATTTGAAATTTTCCTATTGGCTGGGCACAGTGGCTCACACCTGTAATCCCAGCACTTTGGGAGGCCAAGGCAGGCGGATTGCCTGAGGTCAGGAGTTCGAGAACAGCCTGACCAACATGGAGAAACCCCATCTCTACTAAAAATACAAAATTAGCCAGGTGTGGTGGCACATGCCTGTAATCCCAGCTATTCGGGAGGCTGAGGCAGGAGAATTGCTTGAACCTGGGAGCTGGAGGTTGCAGTGAGCCAGGACTGCGCCATTGTACTCCAGCCTGGGCAAGAAGAGCAAAACTCCACCTCAAAAAAACAAAAACAAACAAACAAACAAATCCTATCATTTACCAGTGGTGAAAGGAGCAGGATGGGGAGAGGGAGAGATAGATTTGAAAGAAGAATGGCGATTCGTTGACAATTATTGAAGTTGGATGATAGATACTTAAGGTTTATTTTACTGTTCTCTCTAACATACATTTGAGATTTCTCATAATAAAATGTTAACAACTACATTTAATACTATCTTTCCCACAGAAAGAAATTTTGGCGCTAATTCCAAACCAGAATGCTCTTCTAAAGGACTTGGATATTCTTCATAATTCATCACAGATGAAGAGCATGTCAACCTTCATTGAAGAAGCCTATAAGAAACTGGATGCATCTTAAAGAGTGTTTTTTTTTTAGATTGTTCCATATTAATTTAATGTTCGTGAATTTGTAAAACTGTTAACCTATGATTATATGTACAGAGGCTAAGGCTTCTGCAGGATTTATTATCTCCTGATATGCACTTTAAAATTAGTCTTTGTAGTTCTATCATTAGCATCTAATGTAGTTCTGAAGACTGTTTTTAGCAGTTGCCAAATCTAGGAAACTAACATTTATATTGCTGTATCTATAAGTATTTGCCTAAAACCATAAAATAGGAATTGCCTTAAGGATCTAGTAGTTTATAATGCCTGAATGGAACTCATTTATTGGTTAACAGCTCATATCAGGAGCTGTGATAAGTAAGTGTTTACATACACTGTCTAGTGCATAAAAACCTTAGTGTTTGCTATCATTCATTCTGTAGCCAATGGCTTACAGTTTCTGTCTGGTCATCTGGAACTTGAAAAATCCTCAAATGCCTTCACTCTTTTACCTAACTCCCTAGTCTTTTTGGGAAGTAGTTAAGATATGCCTGCTATCTTTAACTTTGGAGGTAGTATCAAAATTTTACTTCTTTGGTTGTTTAGTGAATTAATGTTGAATATTTTCTACTGTCATCAAAACATATTCCCAAAAAGTATTAAAAAGGAACCTTAGCACATTTATTTTATTAAAACAAGAAAACCCAAAATATATAAACCTTTTCTTATTATGATAATAAGCTTATATATGTGAATAAGTTATAACCTAGTGTATAAAAAATTATTTCTAACAAACTACAGTATACTGTCTTGGGTTTTTTTTTTTTTTTTTAGTCTGTAAAATAAAATGACTGCAATTACTTTTTTATGTGACCTATAATATCAGTTAATTTGGGAGATGCCATAATTCTGTTAACACCCTTCAGGCAGAGACCACTGGCAACAAACCTGTAGTTAAACAAGTTGGGTTTTCAGTGTAGTGAGGAGATCACACATGAGGACCCTGGGGCAGCTCAAGAAAAGGGTCACAAGCAATATCCTCATAGGAATAATGGTAAAGAAGGCCTATTAATAGATTTTGGAGGAAAATAAAATCTCAAAGAAAAACCTGGCAAAGTGACTAAAAGTAAAGATTATTACAAAATGTCTTAAAAACCCTTCACTTGGAAACTTAAAGCTTCATGTTTTTAGAATGAGTAGTAGAGCCCTAACTCAGTGATTTTTAACACTAATGTTATAGTAGCTTTTGGTGGTGGGGGAGGAATTATGTATGCCATTTCTCTCAGGGCATCTGTTTAACAGATAACTGATAGTTAACTGGGATTTTAACTTACCATTGTTGCTGAGTGATACAGTTCTTCACCCTGTGTGAACTGGCCATACTACTCTTGTAGCTTTGAAGAGTTTATAATCTAACTTTAAGAGATCTACAATATCTTCTGGTAGGTAGCATCCAATCCAAAACATACACAGTATTTTCTTTAAATAAGACTGCATTTTGGTGTACTCTTTGGAAAGAATTTAAGAATTAATTACAGATCTGTTATGGTTTGCCTAGGGTTTATTTGGCCCCACCAACCTCATGTTGAAATTTGATCCCCAATATTGGAAGCGGGGCCTGGTGGGAGTTGTTTAGATCATGGCGTGGATCGCTCATGAATGGCGTGGTGCCATAGATGCTGGTGCCATGCTTCTTGTACAGCCTGCAGAAACATGAGCCAAATCTCTTCATTAATAAATTACCCAGCCTTAAATATTCCTTTATAGCAACACTAAACATACTAAGAAAATTGGTATTCAGGAGTGAGGCATTGCTCTAAAGATGCCTGAAAATGTGGGAGTAGCTTTTGAACTGGGTAATAGGCAGAGGTTGGAAGAGTTTGGAGGGTTCAGGAGAAAACAGGGAAGACAAGGGAAAGTGTAGAACTTCTTAGAGATTGGTTAAGTAGTTGTGTACCAAAATGCTTATAGAAAAAGAGACAGCAAAGGTCATACTGAGGAAGCCTTAGATGGAAATGATGAACTTATAAGTTACTGAAGCAAAAGTCACACTTGTTACACCGTAGCAAAGAACTTGTCTGCATTGTGTCCATGCTCTAGGGCTTTATGGAAGGCTTCATTTAAGAGATGGCCTAGGGTATCTGGGAAAAGAAATTTCTAACCAGCAAAGTGCTCAGGCTGCTGCATGGTTACTTCTAACTGCTTACAGTAGAGACCAGAGGAAAATTGGAAAATGTGCAGCCTTGCCTTGTGTTAGAGAAGGAAAGAAGAGTGTTTTTAGGAGAGGAATCTAAGAGTATGACCAAGCAGCAGCAATAGTTTGCTAAAGAGATGAGCATGACTAAAAAGGGCCAGGTGCTAATAAGACTATGGAAAAAATGTCTCAAAGCTATTTCAGAAATCTTTGCCACCCCTCCCATCACAGATTAAGAAGTTTAGAATGAAAGAATGGCTTTTTGATGGGGCAGGTGATACTGCTCCCCACACCCCAGCGGCACCAGCTCAAAGGGCCTCAGGCTGCTGCTCTGGAAGGTGTACCCAGTAAGCCTTGGAGACTTCCATGTGGTGTTAAGTCTGCAAGCATGCAGAATGCAAGAGTAGTGGAGACTTGGCAGCTTCCACTTACATTTGAGAGGATGTATTAGAAAGCCTGGGTGCCCAGAAAGAAGGCTGCCACAGGGTCTGAGAGCCTCTACTAGAGAAGTGCCTAGTGGAGCAGATGGAGCAGGGGCACCACTCTCCAACCTCAGAATGGTAGAGCCACCAACAGCTTACAATCTCAGCCTGGAAGAGCTGCAGGTATTGGATTCCAACCCACGAGAGCAGCTACGTGGGCTGCACCCAGCAAAGCCATGGGGATGGGGATGCCTGAGGCTCTGGAACCCACCCCTTGAACCAGTGTTCTTAGGATGCGGGACATGGAGTCAAAGCAGATTATTTTGGAGCTTTAATATTTAATATCTGTCCTGATAGGTTTGGGACTCACATGAGGCCTATTACCCCTTTCTTCTGGCCTATTCCTCCCTTTTGGAATGGGAATGTCTGCACCACCACTGTATCTTGGAAGTAAATAACTTCTTTTTTTATTTTACAGGTTCACAGTTGTAAGGAACTTGCCTTGAGTCTCAAATGAGACTTTAGACTTTTGAGTTGATGCTGGAACAAGTTAAGACTTTGGGGGATGGAATAATTGTATTTTGCAATGCAAGAAAGACATGAGATTTGTTTTTCATGCCACCAAATCTTATGTTGAAATTTGATGCCCAATATTGGAGGTGGGGCCAGATGGGAGAAATTTGGGAACAGATCCCCCATGAATGGCTTGGTGACATTCTCCCAGGAGTAAATAAGTTCTCTTGGTTCCCATGAGAACTGCTTGTTAAAAAGCCTAGCATCTCCCCATCTCTTTCTTGTTTTCTCTCTCACCACATGATCTGCAAATGCCAGCTCCCCTTCACATTCCACCATGAGTAGAAGCAGCCTGAGTCCCTGGCCAGAAGCAGATGCTGGCACCGTGCTTTTTGTGCAGCCTACAGAACGATGAGCCAAATAAATCTCTTTTGTTTATAAAATACCCAGCCTCAGGTATTCCTTTATGGCAACACTAAAGAGACCCAAGACAAGATCCAAATAAAATTAAACTGCCGGGCGCAGTGGCTCACACCTGTAATCTCAGCACTTTGGGAGGCTGAGGCGGGCAGATCACCTGAGGTCAGGAGTTCGAGACCAGCCTGGCCAACATGGTGAAACCCCGTCTCTACTAAAAATACCAAAATTAGCCGGGCGCAGTGGCGGGCTCCTCTAATCAGGAGGCTGAGGCAGGAGACTCGCGTGAACCCGGGAGGCAGAGATTGCAGTTAGCCCAGATAGTGACACTACACTCCAGCCTAGGTGACAGAGTGAGACTCCATCTCAAAAAAATAAAAATAAAGAAATAAATAAACTTTGACTATACATGGTCCCAATAATTCAAATAACAGTCCTCCTCTGTAGTGACCTCAGCCATCTAAGTTCTCCCATGCACAGCCCATGCCAACTATGATACATCTCTTCTCTAGTGACTGATAAATGCCAATGTCAGAAACTTAAACAATAACAAAAAAAATACACTTTTGAGATAGAGGATATATTGTATTAAAATGTAGCATATGATAAAGATGGCATTTCAAATGAAATACAGAAAAATATTTATTAATAAATGGTCTTCATAAAACTGGCTAACTACATAATGGAGGGTGAGAGGATGTTTAATATTCCTACTTTATGCCTAAGTACATTCCCACTAAATAAAGTTAAATATAAAAATAGAAGCTAAAAAGAAAGAAATGAACAGTGGATGTCAGGGTAGCAAATGCCCTATTATGCATATAAGCAAAAGTAAAATCATGAAAGATTATTACATAATATTTTGAACTTTTTGAAATAAGATTTTTAAAAATACAAAACCGGCCGGGCATGGCAGTTCATGCCTGTAATCCCAGCACTTTGGGAGGCCGAGGTGGGTGGATCACCTGAGGTCAGGAGTTCGAGACCAGCCTGGCCAACATGGTGAAACCCTGTCTCTACTAAAAATACAAAAATTAGCCGGGCATGATGGTGCATGCCTGTAATCCCAGCTACTCAGGAGGCTGGGGCAGGAGAATCGCTTGACCCTGGGAGGCAGAGGTTGTAGTGAGATGAGATCGTGCCACTGCACTCCAGCTTGGGCAACAGAGTGAGACTGTCTCAAAAAATAAAAAATAAAAATAAAACAAAATCAAGCCAAAGACACATCACAAATAGGAAAATATCTACAATATAAATAAAACAAAGAAATAAAACTTTTTTAAATAAAGAGCTCTGAAATATCATTAACAAATAGGTTAAATACAAATAGGAAAATGGGCAATTCTCAAAGGAAAACATCCATAAGTATTTGAAAGATGATCAACCTTAACTTCACCATTTAAATGCAAATTAAAACATATTTTCACCTATCAAATTGACGAAGACGGGAAAAAGCTGAAAGAAAATTGCTGAACATACTGAAAAATGGGCACCGAGTACTTGTGCTAAAGGAAGGTGAATTGGTAGAACTGTTTTGAGAGGCAGACTTTACAGATATGTTGCAGAACCTTAGTGTAATGTCGGCCACTTCAAATTCTTACTTTATATGAGCCCTTTGATTTTCCCCAACTCCCAGTTGGGCATATGTTCAACAAACAGGCTTTGTTTAAATACGAGCCACCTGCACTGGAACCTAAAATTAAAGGATTTACTTTTGTTTATTTGGTTGGATAGAATTTCTTGGCATTCCCTGTTTACCAAAAATATGCAGTTGCACCTGTCAAAATTAGTATTTGAGTTATACGGGTTGGCTTAGTTTCTAAACATAAGTCTAAATCCTCTCATGTTTCATTCATTGTTAAGAAATATTTAGCTTTGAGAGAGAGAAGGGAAAGAAGGCAAGCAAAAGCAGAGAGAAATTTTAATTTCTCAGTTGGGTTTTATTATGTCAAAAAGTGAGCTATTTTTGTTTTCTAATTCGCAATTTTGGTTAAGAGTTGTTACTAAATGTGTTTCTTCACAACTAAGCCACCATAGAACCAATTTTTCTTGACTTAGGTGTTTGCTGTCTTATTAAAGTAGCCTCTGTTCTTATCAGGGCTGTGAAGTTGCTTTAGCAACCATCTCCAAAATTGGATATAGTAGTTGTTAAAACTAGACAAAGAAGAAGATAAAAGAGGGACATTTTCTGAATTCATTAGAACTACAATAGAGCACATTTTTAAAATTAAGTTGTTCATTTTTTTTAATACTTTAAGTTCTAGGGTACATGTGCACAACGTGCAGGTTTGTTACATATGTATACATTTTTAAACTAATAGAAATAAATGTGCCTTAGCCAATTTTGCCCCATTTCTACCCCCTAGAGTTGTCCTTAAAATTACTGTAAGTTTTCAAATAGTACAACAGGGATATAAGACAGTCATAGCAATGAGAAAAATGGCTGACATTTATTGAGTGCTTGCTACATGCCAGGTACTAGTCCAATGCCATTACCTATATACATGTATTTATGCCAATGTTTAATCTTAATGGAAACCCTATGGGAATTAAACCTCATAACATTCATTATTATCTCCATCCTGCAGGTGAAGAAACTGCGGCACAGGGAGGCTAAATAACTTGAGATCACACAGATAGTAAATGATAGAACAAGGAAGTGAAAAAATAATTGAACCTTTTCTTAGGAGTTTTCTGATAAACTACAAGTAGAAGGGGCTAGTGAATCTAATGAGTAACCCCTATTACAGCAAAGTACAATCTGATGTATTTTTCTGAGTAAAGTGATAATATGTATTGCGGATTTGTTCACCTGGGTTTTCAGAAGACAATTCCTTTAAATTAATCTTACATTGGGAATCTCCTTTTTTCCTCCTTTTTCCGTTAATCTCAGAGTTAAAAGTTTGCCTTAGCCTAATATATATACATATCTCAAATTTAATTACCTTCAACCATACTTTCCAGGAAAAGGAATGTTTTGCCTTTTTATTATTTTTTTCTTCAGGCAAAAATTAGTTCCAATTAGTTCTGATGTTTTATAAAGAACAAAGAGCTCAAATTTCTGTTTTAAATGCACTTGGAAACAAGACGTAATCTAAATTTGGGGAGACTTTTACATGTCTCAGAGTTTATAAATAACCAGACCCCAAACTTTTTAAAGTTTCCCCTAGGATATTGCACTTACTGTCTAAAGGAGTTCCTGTTTTGCAAATAAAAAAAAAGCTTAACTTTTAAAAAATATATTTTACTCAGTTAATATTTAGAAAACTATATTTATATAGGCTCCTTAGGTCCAAGAGTAGGTATACTTTGTTCTCAGTAACATCTTTTAAAAAAGAAGTTATCAATGTATACAGCAAGATCAAAAACTCTTATTTTGACATCTAGTAATTGACATCTAATACAATTTCTCCATTTGCTGTCAACTACTAGCTGCCCATTGTATTACAAAGCTCAGTGTCCTCTAGTGAAGAATGCCCTACCTTACCATTTTATGAGACCTAAATGTGGTAAACAGAATCCTCCCATCTAACCACATTCAAACTGAAGCACTCTGCATATGCCGTTGAGACATTTGTGTTGCATATTATTTCAAGATGTAGATATTGAGTGCTGAGATGTCCAAGTAAATACTTACATGGTGGTTAAAATTGCAGTCTTTTGAAAGAAGTGAGTAAACTCTGAATGACTTTTCATTTAAAAGAATAGGCTGAAGTAATTAAAATTCTTGAAATTACTCTCATGTACTTATGTATCCTCTGTAGAGATTACCCCCTTTCAGCCTTGGAAGTTTAGGGCAGCAAAATCATTTTCTTCAGAATATATAAAAAAATAACTAAAGGGTCAATACCTTTATATTACTTTCTTATCGTACTACCATTTGCCTGGGCTCCTCTTCTTTTTATTCTCCTTCATGAGATACTGATTAATAGACAGGTTTTATGGCTAGAAAATACCTATCTCTAAATCAAGATTAGTATTCATTGGCTTTTACACCATAAGGCTAAATGTGATAAAAAGGAAGAGATGGAGTGGAAATGCCTGTGCTCTATGTGAGATGATTTTCACCTGATCACCATCATAAACTCCTCCCCGTCTACAGGTGTGGGCACTTTTTTTTTTTTCTCTCCCTCCTGTTTCCACTAAGGGCTAATTAGAGAGGTAGCCTTGAAGAATAAACTTACCATTTATATAAAAGGGCTACTGGACTGATACACAGCTGAAAACCCTCAGTTCTGGACTGAACTCCCAGCAGGTAAACATTTATTCATTAATATAATACATTTCAAGTCATAGTTTATAATTGCAGAAAGGGATGGGAAAAATAGAGAAGAGATGAAATCCAACCTTATACAGAACGAATACATTGTAATTAGGTTTCAAGGAAAGATATATTTTGTTTTGTTTCTTGGCGTGTTTTTGTTTGGGGTTTTTTTAACTCCTAAATTTTGATATGAGGAAAATTTTTACTCTTAAATTTTGATGTGAGGAAAATAAGTATTACCAAGTATAAATTTGTTTGCATTGTGATATGGGCACAACTAGAGCAACCTCTCTGAACAAAAATCCTAACATATGAAAAATAATTACTAGCATTGGATTCCAAGTGCTTAAAAAAATGTATTTCCTCATTAACAAATGCCCACCATTATATTGTAAATATTGTATTACATTACAAAAACAGAGATCTTATGTTTTATTGCTTATAAGACTTAAAAGTCTCCCAGGAGAGTGTCATGCTTTCATTGTTATGATAAATATTAATGAATAAAATATTTTAGATGCTTGCTCTGTGCTTATAAACACTCAAATGCCCCCAAAGAAACTTCAGTTTCTAAAACTTACATGAGCATAATTCTTTTTCTTGACAAATACTTTCAAACAGTGAGTCTATTGGTTATAATTTGGTTAAAGGAGTTACCAACCTTTAACTTCCAATTCCAGAACATACTGATTATGGACAGTACTAATCAAGTGGTAAGGATATGACATTCTGCTCTTGTAGCTTTCAGAGTTAATCGTCATTATGACTCTCTAACATGTTACAAAAATGTGTAGAAAATATTTTCTGCATCAATGAGAATTTCTGCTCTACCTTGTGGCATTAAAAAAATTTCTATTTAATGAAAGATCCTTATGAAATGAATCACTGTTTACTGAAAGGGTATTGTCAAATGTAGATTAATTGTAGTGTCCTCTCTGCATGAACCCATGGGGGAATGTCTCTGATTTTAGTTTGTCACCCTGAGTAATTTGTGAGTTGCATGAGTATAGTCTAGAAGGGTAAGTTGAAGCCAATTAAGTAGAGGTTTTGCTATTAAGAAGCTGGAGGCCAGGCAGGGTGGCTCACACCTGTAATCCCAGCACTTTGGGGGGCCAAGGCAGGTGGATCACATGAGGTCAGGAGTTTGAGATCAGCCTAGCCAACATGGTGAAACCCCCCATCTCTACTAAAAATATAAAAAAAACTAGCCAGGCGTTGGTGGTGTGTATCGCGGGAGCTGGCCAGCAGCCCGCAATGCAACGGGGCTCTCTCTTTGTTCCTAGGTGGATTGGCAGGTCGAGAAATAAGAGACTCACACAAGATAGTGAAAGCAGGTCCCGCGGTGCCGCCAATGCACTGACTATACCAGCATTTATTATTAAGTTTAGTGAGGGCAGCGGTAGGTTAGTGAGGGATTTAGGGTCATTTGATTATGAGGTGAGATGGTCACATGGGGATGAAGTAATTCTTTAACATAATATCTGTATGCAGAAGTACAGTATACAGAGATAAGAATTTACAATATAGTGTGTGCATCAGTAATTTCTAACAGAGCCTTAAAACAGAAACACAGTCTTTCCATAACCTATGATTAGCAGGATATTAATCAGCAGTAACAGTTGCAGCAAAAGCTGGTTACAAACAATCCATAGAAACAGGATGTGAAGCTAGACAACTAGTTAGACCAGAAATCCTCAGAAGGAAATATGTCTTAACCCTAAAGAGGCCTAGAAGAGCTGTGGCAAGATGAGCGTGTTATAGCCCTATCTTATCCATATGGACAGGCACCCCTCATTCGTCCATTTATAGGCTATCCACAAGGGTCGCATTCCATTCCCAGAGCTATGAACATCTGCTTTTCTGGGATAGGAATCTTGGTGATGTGAAACCTCCCTGAATGCACATCCATTCATAGGCTGTCTGCAGGGGGAAGCACATCACGTGCTATTGGTTCATTCTGGCAGTCCAACCTGGCATTGTCTTTACACAATCCTGCATGCAATTTTGTATTTACAATAATCAGGAGCATTTCATCTTTTACTCCATAGCAATAGTTTCAGGGGGTCTCCCTACATCTCCTCCTTTTCTCTGATTTAAATGAACCATAGCAATCATAGCTTGGCACTGATCATGATTGGATTGAAGAATATTTTTTCCAATTTTGTATATGAACAATAAACCAATAGCACAAATTATACATAGAACAAAATTAACAATAGTGGATCCTCCCAAGGATTTTACCCATTGAATGGGGTTGAGATTAGATAACCCCTCAGATACACCGTCTAAAACTTCAGCACTGGGTAAAGCAGTTAAGTGTGCTTGACAGGCCTCAAAAATCTGTGCTTTTAGCTTGCTTATGTCTAAACTTAAATTATCTTCACTTCCTTGTAAATGGCATTTTACTGATTCCCAATTGTGAACAGACTCATTACATTGAAACGGATTTATAGAAAATCAGAAGTATTCCAATCACATTGCATTTGAAATCTATGTTCTAAACTTATAATTCTTATAATTCTATCTCCCATCCAGATAACAGTTTGTCAGGTTATTAATTTGATTGGCCAATTTTTGATCAATACCTGACTGAGAATTCCACATCCAAGTAGAATCTTTTTGCCATTTATCCACAAAATGAACAGTTTGAATAGATTGATGTAATGCAACTCCAGCAGTAGCAGCAGTCACAGTAACAGCAATCAAACCATTATTACTGCAATTAATGTAAAAATAAATAATTTACTCCTTTTAATAATTTTCTGTAGAATATTATTAATAACATGGATAGAAGGGGAAGATTCCCAAGGCCTATGTAAGGCTACGGGAAGCCAAATACCTTCTCTGGCTCTGACTACTAAAATACTATGATATTGATTAAAGGATGAGTCAATCCAAGCATACAAGTAACAACTAACACATGTAATTATGTTGGTTTTTGAACTAATATGCATCTTTCCTACTAATAACATATATGGTGGTTTAACACAACTTTTAAGTGGTATAGTTTTATTGGACTCCATATAGATAGTATATTTATTTTGGGATGGTACTCTTTTTGTGAATGCATGGTGGGGGGAATAGGTTGTATGAGAGGTGGTGTGGGGACATTAGCAAAGGGGGGGATATAAGTCCTCATCATCTTTACTGTCCCATCTTTGAATTGACCTTTTGACGATTGCCATAGTGATATTTTTGGCTGTGTGAAAATAGTAGTGTAAATCAATCTGTTGTCTTAGTTTTCGAGGTGACAAGGTGGATTTACTTATAACACTTTCTCCAGCCCAAACTCTCATACCAGTCATATCTATGGTTAATCTCCATAATTCTGAATGTTCAGGTCCTAAGTGGGGAACAATGAGCCTTGGCTTTGGAGGGGCAACCCCTGCCCCTTTCCACTTAAAAGGAAAAAAGGAGTTAAATATATGATATAATAGGGGAGGGTTGTCACTACTTTTTTGATAAGTAATATCATAGAGAAAGTGTTGACAATCTCTGTGACCTTGAGAGCAATCATTAGTAATATGACCTTTAGGAGCCCAATCAACAATGGTATAGTGAGAAGAATTAAATAACACACTCCTTCTGAACTAACACAATCCTTCCACATTAATTTGTCAGCATTTGAAGACAAGTTGATAGGACACACAGGTCCTAAAGGCTTATATTGGGATGTGTGAATATAATCAGAGATTCATGTTTTGATCTGTCTTAGAGGTTTTAATGAGATCCCTGATACCAAGTGTCCTAAAGAGTGACCAGATGGTAGTGTGACTGCCCAAATTTGAATATCTAATGAGAGACATCCATTTGTGGGTCCCAGGCACAAAGGTGGATACCTAAAACCTAAAGTGATATTGAAAGGAGTTCCTTCTTCTGAAGGTTGGGCAGGACAACGATCGTCTACAGAACCAGGCATCCAAATACTATCATTAACATAGACCTCGATAGGAGCGTCCATCCACGTCATGGCTCGAATAAGAAGAAGAAAAGGAATATAGGCCCAATATTCGTAGTTTTTAACAGTCTGTGGGGTGACAGAGGGTAAAAGGATCAGTGTAATCAGGAGGAGGCAGAGGTTGAGCCAGACCTGGATCGCTGGAGGCAAGTTGTTCAGGATGGCTGACTGGATTGTCTGTTGTAAAGGAGTTAGCATGGTTATTTTTTTTCTTTTCTTTTTTTCTTTTTCTTTTTTTTTTTTTGACGGTTGGATGTGTTAGTTGTTTTTTGCTGTGGTGTTTTTTCAGCAAATTTCTCTGTCTCATTGTTGCATGCATCTTCAGGACAAAATTTCAGGTGTCTAGCAGGAATCCAAACAGGAGATTGATATTCACCTGGGGAAACACAAGCATAGCCTCTACCCCACGTTAAAATAGAGCCTTTTGACCGTATATTAGATTGAACATCTTTCCACCATACTTCCCTTCCTTGGTTTACTGTGGGACAGTTACCAGAGAAATGTTTTTCGGCAGCAGTAACAGAACTAGATTTAGGAATATTAAGAAAATTTAATGTGAGCAATGCAAAGTTTAATTGTATGTGAGGGGTAGACAACTCCTTATCCCCCTGTTTTTGTTTAAGTAATTGTAATTTTAAGGTTCTGTTACTTTTTTCTACAATACCTTGGCCTTGTGGGTTATAAGGAATATGAGTAATATGTTTAATATGCCACTGATGAAAAAAATTTTTAATAGCTTTACTGCAATAGGCTGGATCATTGTCTGTTTTGCGCTCACTAAGAATTCCCATAACCGCAAAACATGAAAACATATGTTTTTTAACATGAGAAGTGGCTTCTCCAGTTTGACAGGTAGCCCAGATGAAATTGGAAAAGGTGTCAACTGTGAAATGCACATAAGCTAATTTTCTAAAAGAAGGAACATGAGTAACATCCATTTGCCAAATAGCATTAGGAGAAAGGCCTCGGGGATTAACTCCGAGAGATTGTGTGGTTAAGACAAGAACCTGACATCGAGAACAGTGTTGTACAATTTGTTTAGCTTTTTTCCAACTGAGAGAATATTTATGTTTAAGACCTGAGGCATTAGTATGAGTGAGTTGATGAAATTGTTCTGCATCTATAATGGCTAGAGAAACTAGAGTATCAACTTTATGATTACCACTGGATAAAGGTCCAGGTACGTTAGTATGAGAACGAATGTGAGTGATGAAAAAAGGGTGGTTTCAGTTTCTGACAGTTTTTTGTAACAAAGAGAACAAGGAAAATAGATTAGTGTCAGTAATATTTTTGATGGTAGCTGTTTCTATTGCCTTAGTGGCATGGACTACATAAGCTGAGTCAGAGACAATATTAAGAGGCTGACTAAAATCCTGTAATGCAGAGATAACAGCAAACAACTCGGCTTTTTGAGCAGAAGTGTATGGAGTAGAAATGACTTTATCTTTTGGTCCTACATAACCTGCCTTTCCATTACTGGATCCATCAGTAAAAATGGTAACGGCTGCCTCTCATCATGATGAATGAGTAAGTTCTGGTAGAATCCAGGAAGTATTTCCTAGAAATTGAAAGAATTTTGACTTAGGCAAATGATTATCAATAGTGCCAACGAAGTCAGCCAGATTAGTCTGCCAGCACAAAGATGTAGAAAAGGCATTTTAAACTTCATTTTTTGACAAAGGGACCACAATAATGTTTGGATCAAAGCCAGAAATTTTAGTGACACACTGACATCCTAACCCAATCAAAGTGGCCATTTGATCAAGATATATTGAAAGAGTCTTAGAGGCTGAATTAGGAAGAAATACCCATTCAACTAGAGAATTATTTTGTACTATAAGTCCCGTAGGAGAGTGGATGGAAGGAAAAACTAAAAATTGTAAAGGCAAATTTGGGTCAATACGAGAGACTTGTGCCTCTCTCACTCGTTGTTCTACAAAAGACAACTCTTGTTTTGCTGGTTCAGTTAGAGAACGAGGACTGTTTAGATCTGTATTTCCTGATAAAGTAGCAAATAGATGAGATAATGCATAAGCAGGGATGCCTATGGTTGGTCTGAGATAATTGATGTCACCTAGTAATTTTTGAAAATCATTTAAGGTGTTTAAATTGTCAGTACAAAGTTGGACTTTTGGGGGCTTAATGGAGTGAGCTTCTAGCTGCATTCCTAAGTACAGAAAAGGAGTGGCTTGTTGAATTTTATCAGGAGCAATGTGGAGTCCTGCATTGGCAACAGCTAATTTTAAAGAGGTAAAACATTGAATTAATTCATCTTTAGTGGGGGCAGCAATTAGTATATCAACCATATAATGAAGAATGTAATTATTTTTAAAAGTCTGTCAGATAGGTTGTAACACAGTACCGACAAACAACTGACAAATAGTAGGACTCTTTATCATTCCTTGAGGTAAAACTTTCCATTGATATCTAGCTGCAGGAGCTGAATTGTTGATGGAAGGTATAGTGAAAGCAAATTTTTCACAGTCTGACTTGTCAAAAGGAATATGAAAAAAGCAGTCTTTAAGGTCAATGATAATTAAAGGCCATTCCTTAGCAATCATGGAGGGGGAGGGCATACCAGATTGTAATGCCCCCATAGGTTTAATAACTGCATTAACAGCTCTTAAATCTGTTACCATCCTCCATTTTCCTGACTTTTTTTTGTACAACAAACACAGGCGAGTTCCATGGAGACAAGGACGGCTCAATAGTGTTTGCTTGTAGTAAATCATTAACAATTTAAATTAAAGCCTCCAATTTGTGTTTGGAAAGTGGCCACTGCTCTACCCAAACAGGTGACTCACACATCTATTGTGAAGGGGCAGGGGAAAAGAAGGAGAGTGAGGGCACCAGGACGTGGACTGGGGGAAAACAGGATTCTAAGCCTCTGAAAGAAGGGGTCCCGGAGTGTTGAAAGAAACAGTAGGCTTAGAATAGGGGAGAGGTCCAAAAGGATGATGGGAATGAGAAACATGCCATTCAGATGAATGCCACACATCCTCCTCTGGCAGAGGGGGCAACGGCTTAGTAGAAGAAGAGTTAACATATACAGGTTCCAAGATAGGAGGCAGAGGGTGGGGATCATCATCAGGTTCCTTCTCTTGGGAAGAAACCAAGGAGAGATCAAATTCTCCCTCATCATCAGAAGGAGGACTAGTAGGGGGGTCAGCTACCCAAGGTAAAGGGAGCAGTTCATCATCCACGTTAACTTGTGGCAGTTGAAGAGGATCACCAGATGGAAAAGGAAGTAAAGCAACATGAATAAGAGCCCAGTCAGTCCAAACAGAAATAGGAAGTAAAACACCATCTCTCATGAGCTGGTGGAGAGTGGCACCAACTCTATCCCAGTCTAACAGGTCCATAGAATCTTTGTCAGGGAACCAAGGACAATATTTTTCAATAGTCTGAAATAAAAGAATAAGGTTAGTGGAATCAGCCTTGATTCCACCCTGTTTAAGAAGAAGTTTAATAAAAGACAGATAAGCCTGGTGTTTAGACTGTGATTGTCGCATAATAGCCCTGGAATAATACTCATCGACAAACCTGAAAAGAGGGGAGAGTTGGAAAAGCATACCCAGGGACCTTACTGTCAAGACTGAAGACCAGTCGTCATGAACCTGCATTCGGAGTGCACTGAGCCGAGGAACAAAGAAGGCCACCTTGGGCGCCAGATATTGAGGGATCTAGCTAGCAGCCTGCAATGCAATGGGACTCTCTCTTTGTTCCCAGACAGATCGGCAGGTTGAAAAATTAAATAGACACACACAAGATAGTGAAAGCTGAGTCCAGGGGGGTCACCACCTTCTGGTCCTGCAGTGCCACCAATGCACTGAATATACCAGCATTTCTTATTAAGTTTAGTGAGGGCGGGGGTAGGTTAGTGAGGAATTTAGGGTCATTTGATTATGAGGTGAGATGGTCACATGGGGATGAAGTAATTCTTTAACATAATATCTGTATGCAGAAGTACAGTATACAGAGATAAGAATTTACAATATAGCGTGTGCATCAGTAATTTCTAACAGAGCTTTAAAACAGAAACACAGGGAGGCTGAGGCGGGTGGATCGCAAGGTCAGGAGATCAAGACCATCCTGGCTAACATGGTGAAACCCCGTCTCTACTAAAAATTTAAAAAATTAGCCGGGTGTGGTGGCGGGCGCCTGTAGTCCCAGCTACTCGGGAGGCTGAGGCAGGAGAATGGCGTGAACCCGGGAGGCAGAGCTTGCACTGAGCCGAGATCGCACCACTGCATTCCAGCCTGGGCGACACAGTGAGACTCCCTCTCAAACAACAATAACAACAACAACAACAACAACAAAAACCAGAAACACAGTCTTTCCATAACCTATGATTAGCAAGATATTAATCAGCAGTAACAGTTGAAGCAAAAGCTGGTTACAAACAATCCATAGAAACAGGATGTGAAGCTAGACAACTGGTTAGACCAGAAATCTTCAGAAGGGAGTATGCCTTAACCCTAAAGAGGCCTAGAAGAGCTGTGCAAGATGAGGGCATTACAGCCCTATCTTATCCATATGGACAGGTGCCCCTCATGCATCCGTTTATAGGCTCTCCACAACGGTCGCATTCCTTTCCCAGAGCTATGAATATCTGCTTTTCTGGGATAGGAATCTTGGTGACGTGAAACCTCCCTGAATGCATGTCCCTTCATAGGCTCTCTGCAGGGGAAGCACATCACGTGCTGTTGGCTCATTCTGGCAGTCCAACCTGGCATTGTCTTTACACAATCCTGCATGCAATTTTGTATTTACAATAATCAGGAGCATTTCATCTTTTGTTCCATAGCAATAGTTTCAGGGGGTCTGCCTACAGGTGTGTGCTTGTAATCCCAGCTACTCAGGAGGCTGAGACAGGAGAATTGCTTGAACCTGGGAGGTGGAGGTTGCAGTGAGCCAAGATCATGCCACTGCACTCCAACCTGGGCAACAGAGCGAGACTGTGTCAAAAATAATAATAATAATAAATTAATAATAAATAAAAATAAGCTAGAGTATTGGACTTTAGAGATGGCATAAGTGAAAAACAAGTAAATGTTAGAAGAAAGAGTGTAAGGAGGATAATTTTCTGGGCAAACTGAATCATGAAACTAATCATATTTGTTTCTCTTTATGTTAGAAAGTTTAGTGTCAAAAGTGGACTCTCACCTGCTGCAAGTACAATTGATTCTCATTGTGGTAGTTATTTTCAATAAAATACCAGACACTGACTTAGTCAATACTGAAACATTGTTCCAAGTAGAAATACAGTTAGGTTCCTGTCAGCCTCTGGTTATGGTATTTTCATCAGCAGGTCAATAGTAACCTTGTTTTATATGTGTTTTGTTGAAAGACACATTAATATATATTGTTGATTCAAGAGCATTGTAACTCATGTCCAAACGAAACTTACCTAACACGTGTATTTCCTCCATTATTCACATCACAGCATTTTTGCACTTAGAAACACCAGTACAACCAATAAGTGCTATGCTTTTGGTCCATTTTTAAACAGCAAAATCAACACAAAGCACAAAAACTTGAAAAACTTAGCACTAAACAGACCATGAAAAGGGCACTTGTTTACAATATGAGAACAAACAAGAAGACAGAGCATTCCCTGTTCAACCTTAGCTGGAAACATGTGAGTTAGGAAACCCAGTTCTTTTTGCTGCTCTATGCATGACTGCAAATGACTGTAAAAGTGCCACGAGTATTGAATTGGGAATTACAAATAAATTTTAGCAAGCAGGTAAATTTTCAAATATGAAATTCATGATTAAGGATGATCAATTGTATACATAGGATTATGTTCCATGCTCCATACTTTGCATATTAACCTCACTTTTGACTCCATATTACTTTGTCCCTCTATTTCTCCTTTGCCAAATTTTAATTTAAACTTAATTATTTTTCTTGATATATTTTACGTATTTTCTTTCTCTTTCTTTCTTTCTTTCTTTCTTTCTTTCTTTCTTTCTTTCTTTCTTTCTTTCTCTTTCTTTCCTTCCTTCCTTTATTTCATTTATTTATTTATTTATTTTTTTGACGGAGTTTTGCACTTGTTGCCCAGGCTGGAGTGCAATGGCATGATCTTGGCTCACCACAACCTCGCAACCTCCGCCTCCCAGGTTCAAGCGATTCTCCTACCTCAGCCTCCCTAGTAGCTGGGATTACAGGCATGTGCCACCACACCTGGCTAATTTTGTATTTTTAGTAGAGACAGGGTTTCTCCATGTTGGTCAGGCTGGTCTCGAACTCCTGACCTCAGGTGATCCACCCGCCTCGGCCTTCCAAAGTGCTGGGATTACAGGCATGAGACACCACGCCCAGCCTAAGTATTTTCATAAATGGCTTTAGATCCTTCAGGGAACAAACCAGGTAATAAAGGAGCAAATTATCAACAAATGTTCTAATTCGTACTCTTTTCATTTGCTACTTCAGTATTCAGGCATAAAAAGATCTCTAGACATCAAACCTAATTAAGAGGTTCACATTCCACTGCCCTTTGAAATAATTTTGTTTCGTTTTCTATCAGGATATATTGAATTCGAATAAATAAATGTATTTCAAATAAGTATCTATTACAAAGTTAAAATTGTATTTAGAGATGACACAAATGAGTGAAAAGTTAAGCAGATGAAAAAGTGAAGAGATGATGGCTGTACTTCTTTCTTTGCCATCCTGAAGTCTGGAAACTAGATCTTTTCAAAGTTTCTAATATTGGTCCAGACTGGGATTCAAAAGCCTCTTAATGTTCGGGTGCTGCCCTGGCCCCTGCAATCTCTTCTGACTCCTGCAGAGAGCACAGACACCTCAAGTGTACCACTCAGTGAACTAGAGCCCACAGGGCTTGATCATATGCTTTCCAGAGGTTCAGGCTCACATAAACCTCATGATAGAATTTTACAGGAGATTTTAGGTAGATTACAATTGAATATTCAGGGTATCTTGTAATCACAGGGGTATGCCACATAGAGAAATTGAGTAGAATTTTCTTTACCTGGAAAATACGTTGTAAAGGAATAATCCCAGCTCTCCACCACAACCCCAGAGGCACCATGTTCTCCTGTCTAGCTGAGTTCTCTTTGCCATCCTAGTGCCTGTCTGCCAGATGTAAGTTGATAAGCTCTGCTACATTGAATGTAGGAAATATTTTTTTTCTTTAATTCAGTCCATCCCTGATTGGAATGCCAGAAAAAGTTTTCTTGGGAACAAAGCAGGCGAGGTGAAGCCCCCAAATCTAAAAAAAATCTAATTGCATGAGAACAGATGACTTTGCATACATTACATTTAGGCCCTTCTTTTTTCTTTAATTTTATCAGGCTAAAATGAGTGTCAGCCTTTGACCACTTCTGATTCTTCATCTTCAATCTAGGTATTTCTCTCCAGTTTTTCCTCATAACGACCCGACCCACTCAAGTCTTTCTCTAGTCTTTGCCCCACATTGTGAAAAAGATGTTTTCCAACTTAGCTCGAGGTTCTTACCCTGAGCTTCATATTTTCCATTCATCAACTATTTAGAATGTCCCTACTGTGTGCCAGGTCCTTTGGCAGGTGCTGTGGATACAGTGGAGCACAAAGAAGGCATCGGTCCTACCTTCATACAGCTTATAGGTTACTCAGGATGGATTTAGATCAAATAAAACACAAATAAATACAAAATTACAACTGTTATACATGCTCTGAAGACAGAGTTTAGAGTACAATCAATGTATATAATAGACTTAACCAAGGATAGATACTCACATCTGTTTGGGATTAGGTCATTAACACTTCCCATGTATTCTCCGGTTTACCCATCCCAGTGCCTCCCCATCTTCCCTTTTCCCTCTTCAGGGGGAGCAATGGCAGTCAGAATTATACCCAATGAAAATAGAATTACAAGAAAACTCCTAAATAGATCCAAATATTAACAGGCAAAAATTAAATGCCTACCTTCAAGTTTCTAATTAGGTGTGGAGTTGCAAGAGCTCTGGAAAAGATGTTGGTGCTAAACTGTTCTACCAAATTACTGATACTGGAGAAAATGTTGAAGAGTTGCTTTCCTGAATCACTCAAGGTACCATAAAATTAATAATTTTATTTTATTTCTTTATTGTGTTAATCTGTAAAATAATGTCAAACTTGTGGCTATTTTCCTTTTTTTCTGATAATAAGACTCTCTAGGAGCACTTGTTAAACATACAGCTTCCCAGCTCCCTCCTGCTAGAGACAGATTGAATAGACTGTGGATAAGGCCCAGGGAATTACACTTTTCTTTTTTTTTTTTTCTTTCTTTTTTTTTTTTTTTTAACTTTAAGTTCTGGGATGCATGTGCTGAATGTGCAGATTTGTTACATAAGTATACATGTGCCATGGTGGTTTGCTGCACCTATCAACCCATCATCTAGGTTTTAAGCCCTACATGCATTAGGTATTTGTCCTAATGCTCTCCCTCCCCTTTCCTCTCACCCCCTGGAAACTACACTTTTCATAGTCACCTGGATGACTCCTAAGGAAATTTAGGTAATTTCTAGATTATTTCTAAATAAATTTGAGTTCTAAAGTATTTTAAATAGCAGAAGGGTATGGACTAGGTGGCACTGCAGTTAAGAACATAATCTAGTTAAAATAATAAAACTGAGGTTTAGATCTTGTTATAAATGCAGTGAAATTGCCTTTAAGAGCTGAATTTCTTGAGCAAGGAGACTGCCCTATGCCTGGTTTTCAAATGTGAGTGGCATGCAAATCACCCATGAGATACATAACAAATAAGAATTTGTGAACACAGAGACTTGCATTTTTACCAAAGACCCTATTTAATCCTTATGTACATTAAAATTTGAACAAAAGTGATCTAGAAGGAGTCCTCTAATGCACTATACTGTGTGAATTAAATCTGGCCATCTTGCCTTATTGATCATGCTTAAACTGTATGTGGTAACGAAAATATGAATAAGAATTTGGAATCATTTGGCTAAAAAATAAAATGTACCAAATTGACAATCCAACCCAAATTTTCCCAAGATCAATGCTGACACTGAAGTGAATTAATGGAATGAAATGGTAGGCTACTTTGCTTTAATAATATGTCCAAATAATTATTTTTCCAGAGATAATGAAAAAAATTTCAGTGACCTTTACAGGATAATAAAAGGTGTTAGAGAATTAAAATATTAAAGAAAATACAGTTTCATTTATTTAAACTTCCTCCATTTTTTGGAGTTTTTGGCTATGGATTTTGTAACCTCAGCTTAGTTTTTAAGTGATTAAATATCCTTCCAAAGTTCCTTCATAAGTTCTCATCTCATTCCCCCAGCACATTGATATCCTTCTAGCCACACCCCCTCAACTCAACATTCACCCTTTGAATAAATAGCTATTGGAAGAGTTTGTATTTAACCAGTGTCAAATATTTCAGTTGGTTCCAAATCCTATACAAATAAGTTATGTTTTTTCTTTCTGAATCTGAATATTGAAAGGGTTTTTGCCTTTTAAGATGCTGAGCATTCCAATCATATTTAGGTTACATTCTTGAGTAAGAATGTATAGTTTCCTCATGTGAAACTTATTAATAAACATTACTCTGTATATGCAAGATGAGCAGCCACATAATTTAATGATTAACAGAACAAACATGACCCTTCCAGGTTACTTTAGATCTTGAATTTTCACTAAGGGTGATCCATGTTACACAATAATATAAGCCGAACCCAATTTGGAAAGACTCCTTCTATGAGGATATGTGAATGAGGTCCAGATTGGGTAATATAGAAGAAAGTTGTACAATTCTAGGCATTGAAGAAAATGAGTGATTTAGATTACAATAGTGATAAAGTCAGGTGCAGTAGCAAGCTTGTAGTCCCATCTACTCGGAAAGCAGAGGCAGTAGGTTCATTTGAGCCCAGGAGTTCAAGGCCAGCAAGGTCCCCTTTCTTTAAAAAAGTTGTTTTTAATTAAACAAAAAAGTGATAAGGGAGGTAAATGTAGGTTCCAATGTCCTTATAAACAAAACAAAGCAAAACAAAGTCCATTGAAATCTAACACATGCTAGCTACAAAGTGCACACAATTTAATTATGAAATTTAATTAATGAATTTTCATAAAGCAAATGCCTACATAACATCCACTACTACAGAGAAAGAAAATTACTTTTGACGTCACTCCTTCCCACCTGCAATGCCCCTTTCCAACCGCTACCTCTCCCTGTTCCCTAAAAGTGACCACTATCCTGACTTCCAAAGCCATAATTTAGTTGTGCCTGTTTTGAATGTAACATAAATTGGATCACACAGTAAGTATCTTTTTCGTATCTAACTTCTTTTGCTCAACATTATGTTTGTGAAATTAATTTCATTGCTGTTTTGTAATCTACAGTACCAATGTGCGACAATGTACTTATTCATTTCACTGTTGATGAACATGAATGGTGGTAAAAAGGATTCCTATAGTTCAGCAGTCTTTGTTACCACCAACTTTGTCCAGCTTCTACAAGCATACATGTGACATATGCAAGCTATTTTGTAGGACAGTCATCTTTCTTAGTAGATAAAAATATGTGGCTGCATATGGTGGCTCATGCCTGTAATTTCAATACTTTGGAAGGCCAAGGTGGGAGGATCACTTGAACCCAGGAGTTCGAGACCTGCCTGGGCAACATAATGAGACCGCATCTCTACAAAAAAAATTTTTTTAATTATCCAGGTGTGGTGGTGCTTGCCTTAGTTCCAGCTACTCAGGAGGCTGGGGTGGGAGAATTGTTTGAACCCAGGAGGCGGAGGTTGCAGTGAGCAGAGATAGCGCCACTGAACTCCAGCCTGGGTGACAGAGCGAGACTGAGGAGTTCAAGGCTGCAGTGATCTGTGATTGCCCCATAACACTCCAGCCTGGATGACAGAGTGAGATACTGTCGCAAAATAATAATAATAATAAAAGAAGGGCAAACTTTAAAGAAAGAAAATAAAAAATGTGAAAGGCCACAGAAAGAATTATAATATTATTCCAGTTTGGTTGAGTCACCAAGCATTCAATCATCTATGTCAGGCTCCGTGGACATAATAATGAATGAGACATCATTATAGCCCTCAGGGAATGCTTATAGAGCCTTGCTCCATCAAATCTAAAGTACAGTTTTTGTTTGTTTGTTTGTTTTAATTTGAGTTGGTGTCACCCTCTAATGATGTCTAATTGTAATTTAGGGTTGAAGAAGTAGTCGCATTTCACAGGTTATTTTCAAGTAGTATACTGGGCTTGAAAAGAAGCTGAGCATCAAAATTATTTGCAGAAATTTTTAAATATGCATGAACCCTAAGAGCATATGTTATCCTGATTCATTCAGCAAGTATTTACTGCTGACCTATGTGCCAAGTACCCACCTAGTAAGCCTATGAATTTGGTACCTCTCACTGCTATCCTATAAAAAACTAGGTTTGGAAAGAGTTTTTATAGGATTTCATAGACTTTTTACAAGTTTTCAAGTGCACTGATAAAATAATAGAAAAATTAATATACGTGTCTATTATGTGTCTGAATGTATGTATATATATATTTATAATTTCCCCTCTTGTGGACATGATTACACAGTAGAACAAGAGGTAAAGACGATAATATGTGAGTGAAACAGCTAATAGTATGATTGGCTTGTCTCTGGGTTATCTGACTCAGGTTTACGGAGCGGTGATGAACATAAATCGTGGGAACCCCTTTCAAAAGGAAGTGGTGTTGGATTCATGGCCGGATTTCAAAGCTGTTATCACCCGACGACAAAGAGAGGTACAGTTTTGAAAGGTAAAAAGTTTAAAAATAATAAGAATTGGAAAGAAAAAGTAGGTAATGGTATTTTATAATCATAGTAGCCATTTACATTAGCTTACAACACTGTTTCACCATTCATTTCTTTTCTTTCTTTCTTTCCCTTCTTTCCTTCCCTCCCTCCCTCCCTCCCCTCCCTCTCTCCCTCCCTCTCTCTCTCTCTCTCATTCTGTCACCCAGACTAGAGTGCAGTGGCATGATCTCAGCTCATTGTAATCTCCACTTCCCAGGTTGAACCGATTCTCCTGCCTCCGCCTCCTGAGTAGTTGGGATTATAGGCACCCACCACCATGCCTGGCTAATTTTTGTATTTTTAGTAGACACTTTAGTAGAGATGGGATTTCACCATGTTGGCCAGGCTGATCTCGAACTCCTGACCTCAGGTGATCCGTCTACCTCGGGCTCCCAAAGTGCTGGGATTACAGGCATGAGTCACTATGCCCAGCCTCAGCATTAGTTTCTAATTTGACTGGCTTCAGAGTGTCAGGAACTTGAAAAACCTCTAGTCCAAACATGTTCAATAAAGTGGTTCCTTAGTGTTTCATGATCTCTAGAAGGATGAAGCACAAATGGCTGACTTACAGATACTAGCTTTTTCCCTGGGTGAATGATTCCTTATGACTGATGACTTTGGTCATGTGGGTATTTGGAAGAAGAGTGAAGACAACATCTGCCCCGAGACCAAGGAGAAGCTCATGTGGCCAAAGAGGTACCGTCCTGACCACATTAGGAAGATTCTGAGAGTTGTAATTCTTGGAGGTGAATCCACTGAGTTATATACCCTCTTTATTTTTATAAATAAACAAAATCCTAGAAAAATGTGAAATAGATGTCTTAAAACCTTCCTAGCCAGATGTGGTGGCTTGTGCCTGTAGTCCCACCTACTTGAGAGGCTGAGGCAGGGGGTTTGCTTGAGCCCCAGAGTCCGAGACTACAGTCAGCTATGATTTCACCACTGCACTCCAGCCTGGGCAACAAAGCAAGACCCTGTTGCTAAAAAATAAAAAATAATTTTTAAAATTTTTAAACAAAACAAAACCTTTCCTAATCCCAGAAGAAAGAATCAAGAAAAAATCAGCTGAGCGCGGTGGCTCATGCCTGTAATGCCAACACTTTGGGAGGCCTAGGCGGGCGGATCATGAGGTCAGGAGATCAAGACCATCCTGGCCAACACGGTGAAACCCCATCTCTACTAAAAATACAAAAAATAGCTGGGTGTGGTGGCGTGCACCTGTAATCTCAGCTACTTAGGAGGCTGAAGCAGGAGAATCACTTGAACTGGCTCACTGCAATCTCCGCCTCCCCAGTTCAAGTGATTCTCCTGCACTCCAGCCTTGCAACAGAGTGAGACTCTGTCTAAAAAAAAAAAAAAGAAAAGAAAGAAAGACAAAGAAAAACTCTTTCCTAATCCCAGAAGAAAGAATCAAGCAAAAGCTACACAACTTCATTTTCCCCTCACTACAGCATATTAGCCCCATTCCCATTTAGCCATTGCTTTATAGGGGTCTAATTTTGTTAGCCACCTATAAAAATTAGCTAGACATGTCCAGCTAACGGTATCTAATCTACCTAAGATTTGGATTATCCAGATAATACGTTTATGTTTTTGTGATTATGTCTTCTGTCCTAGGCTGAGACAGATAACCTTGATCATTATACTAATGCCTATGCTGTGTTCTACAAGGATGTCAGGGCTTATCGACAGCTATTGGAAGAATGTGATGTTTTTAACTGGGACCAAGTTTTTCAAATACAAGGTGAGGTCAAGTGCAAGACTTATATTACACAGTCTTTTTTTTCCTCCTTAGCATATATCCAGATAGTTATAGATATTTCATATATATGAAAATATATAGATTATCTATACACACCTGTATGTATAAATACATACACATACATTTTATGCATTTACCATTTCTATATTCTAGTGTTGTAAGAACACTCATTTGTCACTTCTAATGAGGCATGCATGGCCTTCAGGGTAAAAAGAGACCATTTAAATGGAGCTGTTCTTAGGTGACATGTTTTTTCTACTATTACTGTAATATGGATGGATATCAGTGAGAATCAGAGAATATTTTTCCTTATTGGTTTTAATCCTTTTCTATCACATTTTTAAAATAACTATAATTTAGGTCTTAGCCAATAGGTAGGCCTTTTATTTTTTCTGAAGCAGATGATTCTGGAAAGAAATAATCGATTGATCTGCATAAAATGTCCTCAAATGACTGTTTTTTTTCTGAGTCAAGGTCTTGCTCTGCAACCTAGGCTGGATGCAGTGGTGTGATCATACCTCACTGCAGCCTTGAACTCCTGGGCTCAAGGATCCTCTCTCCTCAGCTTCCTGAGTAGCTAGGACTACAGGTGGCACCATTCAGGGCCCTTTTTTGTTGTTGTTGTTGTTGTTGAGACAGGATCTCACCATATTGACTAAGCTGCTAAAGTGATTTTATACAGAAAGAGTTTATATGAGCTGTGAGGAGATAACGGCATGGCCATCAGGGCTTGGGGCAGAACTTTATGCCAGGAGAGAAGAAGATTAAGGGTTTCTGATAGTTTAGATGAATAGTTTCCGCGTCAGTGTACACTTACTCTTCCAGCTTTTCATAATGATTAGGTGTTGGCACAGGCAATAATGTTGTTGTTTATGATTGTTCCAGTGAAATGAGTTCCTTGATCATTTAACAGGAAAGTAGGGAACCTCATATTGGAAATCTAAAGTCTAGTATTTTTTTTCAACTACAGAAAGCTGAGGTCCTCCAATAAGGAAAAGCTTCTATCCACCTGGAAAATTTACAAGTAATGATTAACACATGGTCATAACCCAAAGACTTCAGATGTCATATAAAATTTATTCGTAGTCAGGTGCGGTGGCTCACACCTGTAATCCCAGCACTTTAGGAGGCCGAGGTGGGTAGATCGTGAGGTCAGGAGATTGAGACCATTCTGGCTAACACGGTGAAACCCCGTCTCTACTAAAAATACAAAAAAATTAGCCGGGCATGGTGGCGGGCGCCTGTAGTCCCAGCTACTCAGGAGGCTGAGGCAGGAGAATGGCGTGAACCCAGGAGGTGGAGCTTGCAGTGAGCCGAGATCGCGCCACTGCACTCCAGCCTGGGCGACAGAGCGAGACTCCATCTCAAAAAAAAAAGAAAAAAATTATTCGTAAATGCGCAAAAAGACCTTATGCAAGAAGCTCTAAACTATCTCTCACCTTTACAGATTTGCCCCAGTCACGCTGGTTAGAAATGAGACATGATTCTATCACTTCCACAGCCAATTTAGAAAAAAATGTTCTGACCGGTATTACTTTAACATGGAAATGAATAAATTTCCTCATTGGTGTGAAAAATCATGGTAATAATTGGATGGATCTTGGTGCTAGAGGCCTATTATCACTAAATCACCTCAATCCATCATTATATAGAAAAAAGTTATATAATTTCCAATATCTTTTTCAGAAGGCTGAGCTGATAGTTGTAAGTTATAGTCATCTAAATTGACCCAATCATTCTTTCTGAAGGTTTGGTGGGGACAAATGTGAATTAGTATCACCTAATATAGCTGGAGTAGTAACGGTCCCTCATTTAGCACATAAGTCAGCCTGGACATTACCTTCGGCTTCTCCTGTGGTATTTTGACTACAGACTTCTGTGGTAATAGCTGTAATGTTCTTGGAATACTGAATACCTTCTAAGAAGTCATTGGTATGTTTACTATTCTTAATTGGAGTATCCAAAAAGGTCATAAATCCTCTCTGTTTCCATAACACAATTCAAAAAGCCTACCTACTGGCCATATACATGATCAACATTTGCCACAGTGCAGGCTCCAGTCACAGATACTAGTTTGGCTACTGGGTAGATCAAGCATTAGGTGGTGGAGCTGCTTCAGGACTTGATGTCCAGAGGAATGACATATCCTGCATAGGAATGCCTTTGTCATTTTTAATCTGAGAGCCATTAATGAACAATATTAAATCATGTTTAACCCAACAAGCTACCCAGAGTAGCTAAACCCCTTTAGTTTGCCATATGAAAGCAGGAAGTGAAAAAGTATACAGCTACCCACACAGGCCAGGCTCTTCTGCTCACTACTGGTTGCACTGACGTGAAAAAGATAATCTACATGTGTACTAACCTGAGAGTTTCAGAATCCTGCTTATTGGTAACTAGTCTAATAAATGTCCTGAATTCTGGCTTATCCAGTTAGCCACTCTTCTCATAGAAGGTAGGTAGAAAGAGGCAGAGCAAGATGGGAAGTTCCTTTCATTTGTGGGAAAGGAGAAAATCATTTGTTAAAAGTCGTAACTTGTAAAGAAGACAAAAGGACATGATCAAGAACACCATGAAGAGGCAATCAACAAAATCCAAGACTGTGAAAACTGCACAGCAAACACCTCGGTGTTTTAAACAAATAAACTGAAAGAATCAAAGAGTGGGGGTAGGGATTGAAGGAAAACAGGTAGATTAAAAAATTTGAGACCAAAATTAAACTATAGTGTGTTTAAGAACACACACTTGAAAAGTAGGCACTGCCTCCTTTTTTCTCATAGTCTTTTGAATCACTTAGATGGAATTCAGTGTTATAATATGAGATACTAGCCACAGCATCTGTAATTTTAATAACATTAACTCAAAAGCCTACTTATCTTTTCTGAGGCTTAACTCCCTGAGGGAGGAGCCAAGGCTCCGATACCACACTGTGTTCAATACACCTTCCCACTCATGCATTCTTCAAGAAGTCCCAGGCCCACACTGAAGAGCCTTACCAGTGGGGAAGAAACAAGCCATTAGTCATGGGAAGAGGGGAAGTCAGTTTGCAGAGAATTCAATCCAACAGGACACAGGCTGGAAAGGATGGAGTAGATGGGGATTTGGAAAGGTGGAGAAAGGAATCATACTATAACCTCTCTAAGAACAAAGACCAGGAAGGGCCAGGCATGGTGGATTATGCCTGTAATCCAAGCGCTTTGGGAGACCAAGGCAGGAGGATCACTTGAGGCCAGGAGTTTGAGACCAACCTGGACTTATAGGGAGACCCCATCTCTACAAAAACAAAACAAAACAAAACTTAAAAAATAAATCAGCCAAGTGGTGGCATGCACTCAGGAGGCTGAAAGAGGGGGATCATTTGAGCCCAGGAGTTCATGGTTATAGTAAGCTATGATCATTCCACTGCACTCTAACCTGGGCAAGAGAGCAAGACCCTGTTTCTAAATAAAATAAAGAAAAGAAACCATACCATTTTTGTGTACCACTATGAACATTGTCTAGTACAGTACTTTATATATATACAACACCTACTGAATCAAGATTTATCAAATAACTATGACAAGTGGAATCTGGGTGAGGTAAGTTCAGGGTAAATCTCACCAACACTGAGTTACACCTTGAGTTCTGTAATGGCGAGGTGTAATAGAGAGTCTTTGAAGTTGGTTTGCCACGCCAAACAAATCTAAGCTCTTGTATACTTCATAGACTTTTAGAGCTCTAAAATGTCATCCTTTATTTCGTGGAGCTTAAGGTTAGTCCGAGAGTCCAAAGTATCAATATTCTCCCAAGAAATTCTAAAGTCCCGTGAGATATTCCCATCATAAGTTTCTATGAAGATCGTGATGAGTGGTCCCAATGGGCAACATCATGGGAATTTGAAACGCCTACAAAAATTTGAAACTTAGACAATAGCTGTAATAATTTAGATGTAAGTATACAGTGGTTAGGATAATACAAGGTGGCAAACTGCTAGTATTGATGATTCTCAGTATAAAATTACTGCAACAAATTTCCTTTTTGCTTTTTCAACTAAAATGCCCACATATTAAATTATGTCTTTCTATACACAGGGCTGCAGAGTGAGTTATATGATGTTTCCAAAGCGGTTGCCAATTCAAAGCAGTTGAATATAAAGCTAACTTCCTTCAAGGCTGTTCATTTTTCTCCTGTTTCATCTCTGCCAGATACCAGTTTCCTGTATGTAAACCAAGTTTTTGCATTTGGGGCAGGACTTACTGCTATAGAAGTACACGTAGCAGTAACTGGGGTACTTAGTATCACTATGGAATATCCAGGCACTCTGGATTTCAACCATTGAGCACAAACGGGAGTATGTGTGTGAGTGTGTGTGTGTGTTTACTCTTCTCCTCTCTCCTGTGCTTGACTGCTCATAATTTCATTGAAAATCAAATCAGTATATTTGTCCATAGTTATAAATGAACTCAGAATTCCTGTGTTTTCATAGTATCCATGGAAAAAGCATTCCTTGGTGTCCTTATCCCTCAAATAATTCTAAATAATATATACTGTCTGAGTCCAAAGTTGTTATTGATTTTGCTGTTTCAGGGATGGGGGTATATAGCTGACTTATGTTGCGCTCTTATGTGTCAGGGACTACATATCTTAAATATATTATCCCATTAGTTCTTTCCACAACCCTGTGAAGTAGGACTATTATTATTGCCCCTCCCACCCCCACACACCTTTTTAAACAGAGATGAAGTAACACACAAGGGCAAATTATAGAGCCAAGAAAGAATCCCAAGTCCAACTCCAGATGCAATCTTTCAAAACACTCATTAGTTTGTATCTGCATTTATTCTTCTTTTGGAGTCCCTGCTCTGTCATTTACTAATTACCTTTCTGAGTCTCAATTTCTTCTGAATTCGTTCCTTTAAGTGTTTTTTAAATTAATATCATTTTAAATCAACAAATAATAATTGTACACATTCATGGGGTACAATGTGATGTCTTGATAAATGTATATACTGTAGAATGATTAAACCAAGCCAGTTAATATTAAAAAAAGTTGTAATATTTTCCTGACACGTTGTTTTGCAAGAGACTGAAGCAAGATAGTTAAAAATCACCCACCTCAACGAATGTTAATTTTCTTTACTCCTACAGTGAATGTTGAAGAAATTGTTGAGCAAAACAGCACTAAACCTTAAGAATGTACATTTTAAGTCATAGGAAAGCAACTGGATTTTCTTTTATTGTATTTCTAATTATGAAAATTTCAAACACACATAAATGTTTAAAGGATAGTATAAAGAACCTCCCACCAATACATAGCTGACCTTATTTAATTCATACAACTATATATTCTTTCCACTTCCTGGATTATTTTGAAGAAAATGTCCCAGACATTATCCTTAAATATTTTAATATGTAACTCTAAAAAATGAGTCTTAAAAAAAAAACACCCACTATACGGATATTACTCCTGTGTCCGAGGTCCCCAAGAACACCCACAGGTTCTATGGTTCACTATATTGACATACAGGACTCAGCAAATATACTCACGGCTATGATTGATTACAATGAAGAGATAAAATGCAAAATCAACAAAGGGAAAGGGAGCATTGTGTAAAGTCCAGAGGAAGCCAGGCACAAGCTTCCAAGAGTTCTCTCTCAGTGGAGTCACACAGAATGTGCTCAGTCCCTAAGCAATGACCTGTAATGATATGTGTAAAACGTTTCAAACTCCTGGCCTCAAGCAATCCTCCTGTCAGGGCCTCCCCAAATGATGGGATTACAGGCATGAGCCACCGTGCTCTGCTAAAAGTTGTCTACCACGGAAACTTATTATTAGACACTCAGTGCCCAGGATTTTATTGGCAGCATCCTCTGCCTAGCACAGACTGATTTCCTAGACTCGCAGAAGGAAAGCCAATGTTCAGCAAAACCCACACTGTTTGCACAACTTAATCACAGTGAGCCATTTATGTGAGTCCTGGAAATGGTAGCCCCCCTCCAGATCCATGTTCTCAGACACCAACCAAGGGTCAACCTTGCAATTCGGCCTTTTTAAGGGCGATGGCCTCAAGCCTTCTATGTTAGTCTTTTCTGCACATTCCCTTAAAATACTGTTAACATATTTCCTTAAAGTAAAATAACATTATTCATATTTCCGATATTGTCGTAATATTTTTAAGCTTGTTTTGAATCAACATCTAAACAAGGTTCATACATAGACCTCTTTAATACATCTGAAGTTTCCTTTGACTTATAAGTTCCCCTTCATCTTTATTTTTTGCATTACTTTTCTGTTGAAGAAACCAAGTTATTTGTTCTTTGAAGTATCCCATAATCTGTTTACTATTGTATGCCTGAGGTATTATTTTAAAATTTCCTCTGTCCAGTCAAGCCTTTTGAAATGGGGTTTTAACTTGAACTCTTCTGCATACAGTTAGACATTTTGTCTTTTTTTTTTTTTTCTTAACTTCCCACACAACACTGATGCAAACAATTTGCCTTTAACACCTAAGTCATTACTCAACTGCGTGAACTCTATTTTGAACACCCAGCCCTTTGGAAACAAGGTCAGAGTCTCTAACACAACTACTCCTGAAACACTTGCCTTAGCAATGATTTTATTTGCAGTGATATTTCTGCCTGCTTTAAAGTTCATTTTCAAAAACTCAATTGAAAATTCCATTAGGCCAGCTAATTTTTTCCCCCTGCTTAGTGGATAGATGACTGGCCCAGTTCCATAGCTGATAATATGCCTGAAATGTGCAATAACACTACACACCTCTAATTAAAAGAAAACACAAATTTTTACTTTATAAAAATGATGACAAGAACATTATCTCTTACCGGTCACTGGGGATAGTCTTATGATATTAATAGCTTTAAGACTGAGAGCAAATTCTGAGGCACTGTCAGCCTCATAGGCTTTCAACTAAGTAATCCATTTCAGTTTTGAGAAATTGCAGCAATTCTTTTTCTTTATCTTAATATCAGGGGCTTTATATAGTAAACTAATAAAAACTTTCATACCATTAGAATAAATACAGTGAAAGCTAGTGGCCTATACAAATACTGCCAATGGAAAAGTTGAAGGTTGGTACTATTTAACCTAGAAAACAGCAGGCCGAGGAGACAGTTTTAAAGAACAAATATGGCCAGGTGCAGTGGCTCACACCTGTAATCCCAGCACTTGCCGAGGCGGGTAGATCACCCTGAGGTCAGGAATTCGAGACCAGCCTGGCCAACATGGCAAAACTCCATATCTACTGAAAATAAAAAAATTAGCTGGGCATGTTGGCACGCGCCTGTCATCCCAGCTGCTTGGGAGGCTAAGGCAGGAGAATCGCTTGAACTCAGGGGGCAGAGGTTGCAGTGAGCCACTGCACTCCAGCCTGGGCAACAATGCGAGACTCCCTCTCAAAAAAAAAAAAAAAAAAAAAAAGAACAAACATTTCTAAAGCATGCACATATGCTTGGCATATTAAGAGATTTTATTTCTTTTTTGGCCATGGATGCATAACCACAGAAGTTCTATTCTAAAACATTTTTTTTTTTTTTTTATTGAGCAAAAGATTAGGGCTTCAAGAATCTGGACTTACCAAGGCCTCAGAGAGGATTTCAGCAGAGTCAGGACTAAATAAAAGCAATTCTGAGGGTTTTTGTTGTTGTTGTTGTTGTTTACAGAAAGTGTTAAAAGAAAAACTTTAGACAGATTAAATTTAGCAACGTTGGTCTGGGTGCAGTGGCTCACACCTGTAATAATCCCAACACTTTGGGAGGTCTAGGATGTTGGATCACTGGAGTGCAGCAGTTGGAGGCCAGCCTAGCCAAAATGGTGAAACCTTGTCTCTACTAAAAATACAAAAATTAGCCAGGCGTGGTGGCACACCTGTAATCCCACACGCACGTGAGGCTGAGATACGAGAATCGCTTGAACCGGGGAGGTGGAGGTTGCAGTGAGCCGAGATTGCACCACCGCAACTCCAAACTGAGAGACAGAGCAAGGCTCTCAAAAAAAAAAAAAAAAAAAAAAAAAAAAAAAAAAATTCAGCAACGTTTATTTGAGCAAAGAACAGTTCATGAATCTGGCAGCACTCAGAATGAGAAGTTCAGAGTTATACCCACCAGTGGGAGATTTTATACGCCAGACACAGAAGCAAAGTAGGTAAATCCTCTGATTGGCAACAGTTAGGTATATTTGGGCATGGTCTGCTCACTTACCTGCCTGTGATTGACTTGTATAACAAACTCAGCTGTGCATTATAGTTCTAGGGTTGGTTTTGTGTCAAGTTAGGTTGCAGTTCAACACGCGGGGACTCAAGGTATGGAGGGAGCTGCAGGCCAAACTTAATTTATTTAACAACAGAAACACTTTCCTTAACCTGTGCTGAAGGCAAAAGCAAGTGAACATAAAATTAGAAGCAACGACTTAAATTTGATGTAATAAGTGTTTTGTCTTCTCAGAAATGAAACCCGGAAAGGTGTTGGTAAATCGGGAATGGTGGATTCTAACTCACTGAAAATCTTAGGTGCCCTCTCAGGGATGGTTTCTCAGTTTGAACCAATATGAAAAGAGTAGTTATAGGTCGGGCATGGTGGCTCACGCCTATAATCTCAGCTCTTTGGGAGGCCGGGAGGGGTGAATCACGAGGTCAGGAGTTCGAGAACAGCCTGGCCAACATCGTGAAATCCCGTCTCTACTAAAAATACAAAAATTAGCTGGGATGGTGACGGGTGCCTGTAATCCCAGCTACTTGGGAGGCTGAGGCAGGAGAATTGCTTGAACCCGGGAGGCAGAGGTTGCAGTGAGCAGAGATCACGCCACTGCACTCCAGCCTGGGCGACAGAGCAAGACTGTGTCTCGAAAAAAAAAATGTGTAGTTATGTATAACCACATGAGTCTGAGGTCCTATTTGTTTTTGTGTCATTCTGGTCTAGCAAGGGGCCTTCCCCACGACTAACCTACCTGAGTGTTGCCAATGCGGATCTACTCAACCGGACTTGGTCCCGGGGAGGCAATGAACAATGTCTCCGGTACATCGCCAACCTCATCTCCTGCTTCCCTAGTGTGTGTGTCCGGGATGAGAAGGGAAACCCGGTCTCCTGGTCCATCACAGACCAGTTTGCCACCATGTGCCATGGCTACACCCTGCCAGAACATCGCAGGAAAGGTTACAGCCGGCTGGTGGCCCTCACGCTGGCCAGGAAGTTGCAAAGCCGGGGATTCCCCTCTCAGGGGAACGTCCTGGATGACAACACGGCGTCTATAAGCCTCCTGAAGAGTCTCCATGCTGAGTTCTTGCCTTGTCGCTTCCACAGGCTTATTCTCACCCCTGCGACTTTCTCTGGCCTGCCTCACCTCTAGCCCAGTAAAAAACTGCAGTGGTTTTATTACTTTCCCTGAGCATACACACACTCTTGGCTGCCAACGAGGGGAGAGTTAAAATGGGAATCAGGGGACTCTTGAGTTGTTGGAAAGGGTCTGGAGAATATATACAGGATCCACTTGAGAAGCCTTAATTTTTCGTATCTCAGGTTTCTCCAGTAAATAGCTGTGGGGGTGAAGAGTAGCTGTGGCTGAAGACTGAGGACGATTGTCCTCCTGTAGGATCCACTGTAGGAGAATAGGTTCTAAAGCCAGCAGTTTTAGTGTACTAGGAGAAATTACTGCATGAGAACAAATGATTTAACAGAGGACCACGTGGCTACTGCTTTTTGATTGCTGCTTGGACCTCTGCTCTGTATTCTTAAAGCCACACCGCTTCCCTACTGCCATCATATTCCCCTGTCCCCACTGCTATGTCTCATCAACCTCTGTTCCTAACACCTCTGCCACCAAGTTCTCTGTAGAGTAACCTCCTTTTTCCCCTTTAATTACTTGCTCTTTACTTCTGCCTAGGACTCTAGCCTATAGTTCACTGCCCTGGGAATGTTCAAATATAGTGGTTCTTACATTTTAGTGTTTATCAGAATCACCCAGAGGGCAGGTTGCAACACACATCACTAGGCCTCTCCTTCTACGAGGTAGGGCCCAAAATTTGCATTTCTAACAGCTTCCCACTGCTTATTTGCCTTGGATGAATGACAATATGGGCATTTTGATGCTATAAACAAATGCTGTCACCATAGAACTAGACTTTACCTATAACCTATTTCAGCCCCCTTATTTATAGTCTACTTTCCCATATAAAACTAAGATTTATATATAGGGGTGTTTGGGGGTATGCAAATGAATATATAACATATATGCATACACATATATATACATTCTCTTCATTTCTTTTATATGTATAGGTATATACTCATAGAATTTTGATAAGATAATAAATTTTAACCCTTTGATTACATATGAAAAATTTGAGGACCAGAGAAAATAAATGACTTTTTCAAGATTATATTCTTTATAATCAGTACTGGAGGCAAAGCCAGAATGCTGCCATTTTAATTCCAATCTGTTATTTTCACTAAATCATGTATCCTTTTTTATAATGAAAATTAAAATGCTTACATAATTAAAATATTAATTTTAGTTTTCTCTTATTCTTGTCATTATTTCTTAATTTGGGTTCTGATTGCTTGTGTATGTATACCTTTCAAGGTCAGTAAAGAAAGAGATAAGCATCACCAGCTCTGTTCTCTATTTATAATAAAAGCAGGCACTAACACAATAGTTAGATTTGCCTTGTCTTGATAATGTTGACTTAGCTATATAGAAAATATTGGTTTCTTATCCCCAAGGAGGTCACAAAATTCTGACTACAAAGATAAGGGAAAATCCAACTTTCAGGCATTCATTCTGAGAAAAGGAAGCAAACTGGCTGAAGTAAAACACATTTTAATTAAAAAAATAGGACTCAGTAAGAGTAAATATATGCTTAGTTCATCCTGAGCCCACAGTTACCTGGAAACTTATCTAGCCTTGGATCCAGAGGGGAAAGCACCAAGTAACCAGAGTCCATAAACCTCTTAGGAGAATATGCCCTAAGGACGCTAATTATGTTTAGCATCGCTTAAGCATGAGTTAATCCTGCTTGATATATAGCAATATTATTATAGCCTTATTTTCTTCCTAATGATAATTTGCCTGACATTTAACGTTTAACTATGTGCTAATAATTGTACCAAATATGAGATGTATATAACTTAATCCTGGTGAGGGATAAGGTATTGCTTTGTTGTGGGAATTCTTGCTTAGAGGTGTTATGAGTCACCAAAGTCATGCAGGCTCTAAGTGGCCAAATCATGATCAGAACATGGGTTTGTTGGATTGCAAAGCCTATACTACTAGTCATTATGCTAATTGGCCTCTTAAGCAGCTTGGAACAGTTTGTAAATAATTATTCCCTTATCTCGTTACATTCTGAATTTTCTACCTTCACCCGCACCTCCAAAACAGACCCCATATTTGAAAGATTTTTGTTCCTACCAAATTGCTCTTATACTATTTTCTTACTTTCATCTTCCAGCTAACTATGTTGGATATAATTGCTCAACTTTTAACACTGTTTCTGACCCTTTTAAGGCATGTGCAGAGAAAGTCTGGAGTAAGGAGAGGACAAGGAGAAGAGAAAAACTCAAGAAGTAGAAACGGGGCCAGGCGTGGGGGCTCACACCTGTAATTCCAGCACTTTGGAAGGCCAAGGCAGATGGATCACTTGAGACCAGGAGTTAGAGAACATCCTGGCCAACATGGCAAAAACCCATCTCTATTAAAAATACAAAAATTAGCTGGGCATGGTGGCACATGCCTGTAAGCCCAGCTGCTTGGGTGGCTGAGGCATGAGAATCACTTGAATCCAGGAAGCAGAGGTTGCAGTGAGCCAAGATAGCGCCACTGCACTCCAGCCTGGGCAACAGAGCCAGACTGTGTCTCAACAAAAAGAAGTAGGAAGAGGCTTGATTAACATAGGTTTTATTTGTTAATTCAAGGAAATTCTTCAATGTAATATAAAAACCAAAAAAAAAGCCTTAAGCAGCGCATTAATCTGTTTGGAAATTAGTTGGGAGGCTATAAGCTAAGCAAAAGGTGGTGGTAGCTTGGATCTGAATGCTAGCAATGATAATGGTGAAAAGTGAACAGTTACTTAAACTATTTAAAAGGAAGAGTTGTCAGAACTTAATAATTTAGTGGCTGTAGGGTATGCTGAGAGAGAAATGTCAAGGATGACTACTGGGCTTCTACGTTGTGAAAGCCACAGCTGGTGATAGTTTTCACTGAGATCAGAAACCCTGGAAAAATCTCAGATCTGGAGCAATTTGTAGCAGGGAAAATTGTTTGTTCAGTTTTGGGATGTTGAGTTTTGAAACATGCAAGTGATGGGACCAAGTTGGATATTTGAGTCTAAATCTCAGAGAATTTATTTGGGATAGATGTATTGACTTAGATGATAACAGATATAGATATAGATATAGATATAGATATAGATATAGATATAGATATAGATATAAATATAGATATAGATAACAGATAACTGATATAGATGATAACAGAAGCCATGAATTTAGCTGAGGTTGTCTAGGACTGAACCTTAAATGCATCAACTATTTAAGGCAAGGGAAAAGAAAGGCTCTGGAATAGGAGAAGGAGCAGCCAGAAGATAGGAGGAAAGCCAGGAGATGACTCCCATGGAAGAGAAAGAAGAAAAATTTAAAAATGGAGGGATGGTCAATGGTGTCAAATTATGCTGAGAGGTCAAGAATACATTAGGAATGAAACATCTTCATTCCATATTTCACTCTCAAATATTTTAAACATATGTACCAAAAAGAAGCCAGAAACTGCATATTGCATAATCCTGTTTCTATAAAGTTTAAAACCAGGCAAAATGAATCTATATCTGTAGAAGTCAGGAAGTAATTACCCTTCAGAAGGATAGTAAGTAAAACTGGACATGAAATGGCTTCTGGATTTCCAGTAATATTCTGATTCTTGACTTGGGTGGGTTACAAAGGTGTGTTCACTTTGTAACACTTTGTTACACAGCTGTGTTCCACTTGGTAACACAAGTATGTTCCCTCCAGCCCTGACTTAGCCAGGCCCTTCCCTGCTGGGCTCAGTCTTTCCATAGGCAAATCTGCATGACTAACCACCTCCTCCTCGCCCCCTGTGAGTCAGGGCCTAGAGCATATGATTATCAAGCTATATAATTATGATATATCTACTTTTCTGTATGCAAGTTGTACTGCAATAAGGAATATTCGTTAATAAAAAACAGGCCTGAAATCTGGAAAAAAAATGCATATTTCCATTACATAAAAATCCCACTTTTTAAAATTTATATTGGTATAATATAAAAGTATGCAAAGATTTGTATAAAAGGATGTTTATTACAGCATTGTGTGTAAAGGTGAAAAAACCTAAATATTTTAAGTAATTCACTGGTTAAATATAGTACAAGCATTCGATGAAATTTTATGGAGTACTAGAAAACTAGGTTTGGTGATACAGAAAAGATGTACATAATAACACTAAATGCAAAAACAATTACAGAAAATATGTGTAATCCATTTGAAATTCAACTGTGAAGGTAAAGAGGGGGCAAGTATGTAGGTAAATAGTTTTGAAGACAGTTTAATAGGTTTTATTAAAGGTAAAAGTTGGTAAATGGTGGCACGTATTTTATGGTGTGGCTATGGTTAGATATAATGATAAAGGGAGTCAGTACAGGCAACATGCTCAGCTTCCTGAGACGTGTGTTTCTCTGTTTGGGATAAATCTTGACTAGGTTTTGTAAGCATCTGTATATTTTAGCAAGAATGAGTATTCAGTCTGCCTAAGAATCACTGAAGAGACATAGAGGGGAATAACTGAAAATTCAACTGCTCAAACTTTGGGAGCAAGAGAGGGAAGTGCAATTGTGGGGAACATTTATACAGCCTCTAAAATAGAATCTCATTTAATAATACAAGATTTGATTCTGTTAATTTTGCATTTTTTTAGTCACTAAGTTTTGTTCAGTGATTTGAATTTTCAGAAAGAACATGAGATAAATATATATTAAATTTCCTTAAGCTGTCCTTGATACACCTCAAATTTTGTATCCTTTTTCTAACCTCAATAAATACTAGGGGCAAGGAAAAAATGACAATGAAAGTAAAAGGTAGCAGATGGAGTAACAAAACATGGAGTACAAATATTATTTCTTCCTTCTTGCCTGAAATGGTTGGATTAAAATTATTTGTTTCAGTGGGGAAAATGAAGATAGTAGAAACATAAAATACATATTTTTTTTTCTACATCAGTGTGGCTAGTTAACATTTCCTAAGCTTCTCATAGCCCAGGGTTCTCAATCCAAGCTCCAACAATAAAACCTAATCATTAATAACACTTTGCTTTTTCTGATCTTGGCCCTGAAGGATGGAATAAAAGAAGGAAGATAGTCATTCCTAGTGTCTCCTTTTTTCCTTACCCCCTCCCACCTCAGTAGTTCTAGTGTCATATGTGTTCCCAGGACTGTCCCAATTTTGTTCACCACTTGAGGAAATTTTTTCCTTGAGACAACTTGTTCACTTCTTAATCTTGCTCTAGTGACTTAAAAAATTACAAAACGCATAGCTAATGTCTGAATTTTCCTCTTACTAATTTATGTGCAATTTTCCCTTCCACCAACAGGTGTATGTGTTTCCAAGGCAAAATATGCTTTAGGTTTTAAACACTGTTTGTTACAAGACATTGCTTATGATAGGACTATGAGACATTCAGTTAATACTATGTAGTTATTGCAGTGAACACTAGATGTCAGATTTTACTTCTAGATTATTTCCCAATAGAGGGCGCACTTGAATTGTTTCTAAACATTTCATTAGAATTTTTGCCGCATTTTGAACTATTTCCTTTCAGCAGATTCCTATAAGCTTAACTACTATATCAAAGGATATGAACATTTTTAAATCTAAACATATAATGTGTAACATTTGTTTCAAATGATTGTGCCAACCTATCCCATTTGACCTCACTGTCCCAGAGCTGAGTAGTTCTTTTTTCTTTTTCTTTCTTTTCTTTTTTTTTTTTTTTTTTGTTGTTGTTGTTGTTGGTTTGTTTCTTTTTTAAGGCAGAATCTCGCTCTGTCGCCAGGCTGGAGTACAGTGGCGCGATCTTGGCTCACTGCAATCTCCACCTCCCGGGTTCAAGCAATTCTCCTGCCTCAGCCTCCCAAGTAGCTGGGATTACAGGCATGGACCACCACACCCAGCTGATTTTTGTAGTTTTAGTAAAGACGGGGTTTCACCATGTTGGTCAGGATAGTCTCGATCTCCTGACCTCGTGATCCACTCGCCTTGGCCTCCCAAAGTGCTGGGATTACAGGCGTGAGCCACCACACCTGGCCAAGCAATTGTTTTACATTGTAAGTGATGGATAACAAGATCTTGCTAATTTGATTGGGAGGGGAGCACTTATGTTTACTGGAATTTATGGGTCTTCGATTTTTAGCAAGATTATTGTCATCATTTTTAATACTCTTTTGCAATGATACAAATTATTTCTGTATACCTGCTAGATTCTTGCTGTATTTTTAAACCATTAACTACAAGAGACTGTTTACCTATTGAGAATATAAGGCCCTTTGTTATTTGCTGCAAAAATTTCAGACTTTTATTCATGTAATAGACTAATATTCATGTAATAGAATATTAGATATGATGCTTTTAAATCTTTTAAATATTTGACATTTCTATTCTATCAATCTTTTACTTTTATTTTTACATTGCTTTATTTTAAAATTTAAAAAGTTATTTTAAAATGTCATGAAATAAATCTTTATTACAAAAATTGAAATTGAACAGTATATAACTACATACATATAAAGTATACAGTGAGTTTCTAGTCTCTCATCTCTCATGCCTGCTACTTTCCAAGAATAACAATTGTTAATAGTTTATATATCCATCCAGAATTCTCTCCATATGTGTTTGTGTGTGCATATTACATAATAAAAACACATAAATATACTTTGTCACTTATAAAGTGGAATCACATCGTATATTGCTTTGCAACTTAGTTTTCAACTCAACAATATAGCTTGAGTATCTTTTCATGTTAGTTCATACAGATTTTTCTTATTTTATTTTAGATTCAGGAGCTACATATGCTTGTTTGTTACATGGGTATATTGCATACTGGGGAGGATTGAGCTTCCAATGTACCCAAAACCCAAATAGTGAACATTTTATCTAATAGGTAAATTTTCAACATTATCCCTCCTCACATTCTCCCCACTTTTGGATCCCCATATCAATTTTTCTTTCTTTTCCTCTTTTTTTTTTTTTTTTTTTTTTTTTGAAACAGAGTCTTGCTCTGGCGCCAGGCTGGAGTGCAGTAGCACGATTTCAGCTCACTGCAACCTCCGCCTCCCGGATTCTCCTGCCTCAGCCTCCCGAGTAGCTGGAATTACAGGCATGTGCCACCATGCCCGGCTAATTTTGTATTTTTAGTAGAGACAGGGTTTCACCATGTTGGCCAGGATGGTCTGGAACTCCTGAGCTCATGATCCGCCCACCTCAGCCTCCCAAAGTGCTGGGATTACAGTCATGAGCCATTGCCCCCTGCCTCTTTTTTTAATGATTATGCTAAAAATTGTATTCCACTCAAGATTCAGTGACTTAAGTCTTGTTCTAAAAATCTAATTGTTTGATTTTTTTTGCTTTTCATTATTATATGTAAATTTAGTGGTTTGAAGTTTTGTGTTTAATTAAATACATAAGAAATGTATTTTGGTTTGTGATGTGAACTGGTCTAATTTTATTTATTAACTATTAAGAAGTTTTCCAAGCAATATTTATAAATAAGAGACATGAGCCTTTTTAATAGCAATGACTTAAGTATTAACATATGTGTTCAAGTCACAAATGAGTTCATCATAATTAGTTCTTACCTATTTATTAAAAGATATCCAAGGTCTTATACTGAAGCGGTTCTACTTTGCCTTACTTGCTGGTTTTATTGGTAAAAGTAGAAAAATGATGTTTCTTTTAAAGTGTTCTATTATTTGTGGAAATATCTTCTTTTGAATAGGACACTCAACATTATGTTTATCTTTATTATATGTCAATTGTATGGGGAAAATACAAGTTTTTTTAATTTTTGACTTTCTGGGGCTAGATAAGTTTATTCTAGAGTTCACATGTAAAATAAATAGGTAAGAGTAGCAATACAAAGTCTGAAACAGCAAGATAAAAGAATAGGTTAACCTCACCAGTATTAAAATACACTATAAACCTTCTATAATTTTAAACAATGTAGAATGGTACATGATTATGCAGAACAGTAAGACAGAAAAAAAGTTCAGAAATAACAACAAATAGCTAGGAAAGTTTAGAGAAAGATAAAAGTGTAATCTCAAATCACCTGGGTAAAAATGCTATTTTAAATAAATGATAATGAGACAACTGTACAGTAATTTGAAAAAAGTAAAATAAAATTGGATCCATAACTCACACTCTATACCACAATGAATTCCAAATTAATCCAAGGTATAAAATAATTTAAAAGTGCAAGGTGGCTCATACCTGCAATCCCAGCATTTTGAGAAGCTGAGGCAGGAGGATTGCCTAAGCTCAGGAGTTCAAGACCAACCTGGGCAACATAGTTAGACTCTAGTCTCTACAAAAAAAAATTGTTTTAAAAAATTAGCCAGGTATGGTGGTGTGTGCCTGTAGTCCTAGCTACTCGGGGGGCTGAGGCAAGAAGATTGCTTGAGCCTGGAAGGGAGAAGCTGCAGTGATCTGTGATTGTGCCACTGCACTCCAGCCTGGGCAACAGAGCAAGACCTTGTCTAAAATAAAAATAAAAATAAAAAATAAATAAACAAATACTTTAAAAAAGAAGTCACACATTTACTAAAAGAAAACATGGGTTTGTTTTATTATAACCTAGATATGAGGTTATAATATCTAGGTTATAACAAAAACTACAAACCAAAACAAATTTAGAAGCAATAAAAGAAAAAAATTAAGCTCAGTACATTGAGTAGAAATGTATGGTGCATGTATGTAATTGTTCAATTGCAAAACAGCATAGCTACAGCAACAATACAAATGACAAACTAAGAGCAACAATTAGCAACTTATGTCAGAGATAAAGCGCTATTTTCTACAACATGTAAACAGTCCCAAAAATTGAGAGATGAAAAATATTTAAAACCGAACAGAAAAATGGGCAAGTGACATAGTTAATTCACAGAAAAATATAAACAAAGTGGCTGCTAATCATATGAAAAGATGCTTAAATTCACTCAACAGAAAAATGCTATTTAAACTATAATGAGATACGATTTCTAATCTATCAGATGGCCACAGTCAAAAATCTTGAAAATTAAATACTGACGAATTGTGGAAAATTGGCCTATATATACATTGGTACTGAGCACATAAAGTATTACATTTCCAGTGAGGGGAATTTAGTAATAGCTAATAAAGTACGTATGCATTTACTCAAGCAATTCAATGTCTAGGAATTTACCCTGAGATTTCCCCCGTGAATATAAAACAAATGTTTGCACAAAGTAATTCATGCTGATATATTATTTGTAGTTGCAACTTTTGGAAACAACCTAAATTCCCAAGGTTAATAATCTAGTTGAATAGATTATGATACGTGCACACAATGGAGCACTATTCTCCATGATATTTTTAAGTATGAAAAAAACCTAGGTGCACAAGAATAAGAAACACGTACATCAACATAGATCTCTACTTATTTTGCAAATAGCAACTCAAAAAAATTAAATCAGAAACTTTTAACAAAAAATGACCTATAAATAGTGGAGATTGGACTAAGGACACACTCCCTTGAATATATCCCTTTTACATAGTTTTGAACAAGGTATAAACCTGTGATTAAAAATAATATCAGGCTGGGTGCAGTGGCTCACGCCTGTAATCCCAGCACTTTAGGAGGCCAAGGAGGAATGATTGCTTGAGCCCAGGAGTTTGAGACCCACCTGGGCAACATAGTGGGACTCTGTCTCTAAAAAAAATTAAAACAGAAAAACAAAAAAATAAAAATAATATCTACTCCCTAGTTCTACCCACTGAAAAGACCTACAACTACTCCTGAGAAACAATGACCATTCCTAGTATCCAGATCTTTGTTTCTAATACATGTTAGGAGGAGTAAGACTTTTGATAAAAAGTCTACTTCTAGGTCCCTGGCAAGGAAAGATCATCTTGGGCAAGAAAGTAACAAAGTGGGGGCCGGGGCGCAGTGGCTCAAGCCTGTAATCCTAACACTTTGGAAGGCTGAGGCACGTGGATGACCTGAGGTCATGCCTTCGAGACCAGACAAGCCAACATGATGAAACTCCGTCTCTACTAAAAATACAAAAATTAGTTGGGCATGGTGGCACACGTCTGTAATCCCAACTACTCAGGAGGCTGAGGCAGGAGAATCACTTGAACCCGGGAGGCAGAGGTTGCAGTGAGCTGTGATCGCATCACCGCACTCCAGCCTGAGTGATAGAGGGAGACTGTGTCTCAAAAAAAAAAAAAAAAAAAAAAAAAAGAAAGAAAGAAAAAGAAAAAAAAGTAAAGAAAGAAAGTAATGAAGTGTGTGGACTAAATGTGATCTTGTCAAAAGTAAACAAAACTGGTGTAACAGAACTCTAACTTGCCAAATTTAGTATAATTTGAGCATCAAAAATAACAACAATGGCAATGAATAACAGACTGATTTTTAAAAAATACTTATGTCCACAATGATATAAAAGCAGGGGTAGGATAGGTAGCAAGCAAAAAACTTCTTTTCTTTTATAATTTGGAGACGGGTTTTTGCTCTGTCGCTGGGGCTGGAGTGCAAGGACACAATCACAGCTCATGGCAGCCTCAACCTCCCAGGCTCAAGTGATCCTCCCATCTGAACCTCCAAAGTAGCTGAGAGTATAGGCACTGCCACTACTCCCTGGTTAACTTCTGTATTTTTAGTACAGATGGGGTTTCTCCATGTTGCCCAGGCTGGTCTCAAACTCCTAGGCTCAAGCCATCTGCTCACCTTGGCCTCTCAAAGTGCTGGGATTATAGGCGTGAGCCACAGCACCGGGCCCAACAGCTCTTCTTTATAGAAGAATATCTACTAAGAAATGAAGAAGGAATGACAAAATTAGAAAATTCCCATTTCAAAGAACTCAGTTTAATAATTGATTCAGGAAAGGATTATCAATGGATGGTTAAGTCAGTGCATGAGTGGCTATTGGGAAACAGGATAACATAGTGTCAAACTCTAATCTCACAGGTTATTTATTAATTGCAAAGGGTAAAATGTACCTTTATAATGGGATATCTAGTAATTATCATCTTAAGTATTCAAATTAGCATTAGTAGTGGTAGAACAACCTAATACCGTGAGTCTTCTGATATGATGCAATGAGAAGTGCCATATGTTGCCTATGTAGAATTCTTGTCTAAAGTGTTTAAGCAGAATCTAATCAGAAAAATTCAAAAGGTGGAACATTCTATTAGACAATTGGCCTGAACTCATAAAAATAGTCAATGTCATAAAAAATTGAATGCTTCCTTCATTCTAGATTATAGGGAACTAAGGATTCTTAACCAACTGTAATTTATAAACCTGCAGGAGAATAAAATCTAAAATACACTTTTTGGGGACCACTGTAAAAAATTAAATATGGACTCCATATTAAATGATATTATTGGATTAGTGTTAACTTTCTTACGTATAATATGGTAGTGGTTACATAGAAATTTATTTTTTTAATTCATCCTTGAGTATTTAATGGTAAACGTGGCATCTGTAATAATTTCAAATTGTTCTTAGTGAAGGGATGTATACATGGTTGTATGTGTAAGGGAGGGTGGGAGATGGGGAGAGATGTGAAATAAAGTATTTTAATGATAAAATATTAATAATTAATGAATCCAGATCAATGTTATAGAACTATTTATTATATCATTATTTGAACTATTGTTATGTTTGAGCCAAACTAAAGCTATTGATAAAAAGTAGCAGATTAATATGTACAAAAGACTGAAATAGAAGTCATCACAAATGTAATATAAAATAATACACTAAAAATGGTATTTTATTTTTAGTTTTCCTTGACTAAGGAGTTCTTCTTTCTCTATCTCTTCATCATTAACCTTATGACTACTAATTATTAATAAATATTGATTTTTTAATGTTTTATTCTTTTCAAAAACCTTAAACACAGACATAAAAGAAAAAGTGTTAGCAGTAGATGATAGAAACCTAAGAAGGAAAAAATGCAGTAGAACAAAGATGAATCACAGAGGAAAGAGGAAGCAAAGCTCCAAAGAGAAAAGAAATAGTAAGATAAATACGATAGAAATAAGGAGGAAAGTGACAAATTAATTAATTCAACAATTGTGTCAGGCTGAGTGCTGTGGCTCATGCTTATAATCCTAGCAATTTAGGGAGGCTGAGTTGGGAGGATCACTTGAAGCCAGGAGTTTGAGACCAGCCTGAGCAACACAGTGAGACCCATCTCTACAACAAATAATAATAATAATTAATAATAATAATGAGGAAGAGAAAATAAACAATTGTATCAGGCACTCTTCTAGGTATTAGAGATAGAGTGATAATGGTTAAACTGCAGTGAACAAAAGAAACAAAAATCCCCACTTTCGTTCTAGGAAAAAAAAGGCCTACCTAGGCACTATTCTAGGGGCTTTACATTTATTATCTCACTTTATGAGATTTGTACTCTTCTTCACCTACTTTTTCATGTGATGAAACTAAGGCAAAGAGAAGGTAAGTATCCTGCCCATGATTACGCAACTAGCATGTAGCAGAGGTAGGAATTGCATCTAGGGAGTTTGGCTCTACCATTCACTATTGAATTCTGCACTACACCACATTAGGAAGTAAGGAAGGGATTCTGCTGTGGTTTCAATGTGTCCCCCAGAAAGTATGTGTTGGAAATGTAATTCCCAATGCAACAGTGTTGGGCGGTGTGGCCTAAGAAGAGATGATCAGGCCATGAGGGCTCTGCCTTCATGAACGGATGAATATTCTTATTGAGGAAGTGGGTTTATTATTAAAGAGGAAGTTTGGCCCCCTGTACTCTCCTCTTTCTTGCCCTTCTACTTTTTCCTGTCAGCTGATGCAGCAAGAAGGCCCTTGCCAGATACTGGCCCCTCAGTCTTAGACTTTCCAGCCTCCAAACCATGAGCCAATAGATTTCTATTAATTGTATATTGCCTATTCTGTGCTGTTCTGTTGTGGCAGCACAAAATGGAAAAATGGATTAGGAAGGATTACATAAAAACTAAAATAAATAAATAAATAATAAAAATAAATAAATAAAAATGGAGGAGGAGGGGACAGTGAGAAATTACAGAGAAAGAGTAAAACAGATGTAAATCACAGCCAGAGGAAAAGATTGCTATCAGTATTTAACTGAGAGAGGGCTAATTCCATGGTTTTCTTAATAAAATTATAGTATAGAAAGTAAGAAAATAGCTGTGTTCAGTGGCTCATGCCTGCAATCCCAAAACTTTGGGAGACTGTGGTAGAAGGATTGCTTGAGGCCAGGACTTTGAGACCAGCCGGGACAATATAGGAACATTTTATCACTACAGCAAATTACCTGGGTGTCATGGCTCACACCTGTATTCCCAGCTACACAGGAGGCTGAGGCAGGAACACTTGAGCCTGCAAGGCCAAGGCTGCAGTGAGCATGACAGTGCCACTGCACTGCAGCCTGGGCAACAGAGTGAGACCCTGTCTTTTTTTTCATTTTTTTTCATTTTTTTTTTTTAAAAGGGACCGGGCACGGTGGCTCACGCCTGTAATCCCAGCACTTTGGGAGGCTGAGGTGGGTGGGACACAAGGTCAAGAGATCAAGACCATCCTGGCCAACATGGTGAAACTCCATCTCTACTAAAATACAAAAATTAGCTGGGCCTGGTGGCATGTGCCTATAGTCCCAGCTACTCAGGAGGCTGAGACAGGAGAACCGCTTGAACTCGGGAGGCGGAGGTTGCAGTGAGCCAAGATTGTGCCATTGCACTCCAGCCTGACAACAGAGCAAGACTCTGTCTCAAGAGAAAAAAAAAAAAAAGGAAAAAGGAAAAAGAAAGAAAACAAGCAAATAATACAAGTTTATCCTTAACAAAGAGGTAAAGAAAGAAGGAGGAGTAGAAGTAAGGAGCAGAATTGATTAATGACCAACTCAATGACCACAACTCAGCCTGCCTTGCCATTTTTCCCAAGCCTTGCCCTTGAGGGATGAATTATGAAGTATATATAAGATAATGAAGGATTATTACTAACAGTTTCTTTGACTTCATGGACATTCCAGATCAACTTGTTTGCAAACCTGCCAAACAACAGACAGTATTTTCCACCCACCCACTCTTTGCTTTGTTGATATAACATAGCACATTTGTATGTCTTCACATGGAGCTAAATATTTGGAAAATGAAGCCTCTGTGGATATAATATATTATTGAAGATTCCTCCAGTTGTTATAACCTAATTTGATCTTGTACATTGATTATGTAATAATATAATTGGAGGAAAAATTGCCTTGATCTTTTAAAAATTTTTAAATTATTATCTAATCCAGGTTTGATATTGATTGTGACCTTTTCTTTATAACTATAATGAGTGATTGTTTTATTTGAAATATTTAATATTAACTGATATTGAGTCAAAGATTAAATTCTGTCTATTGGAGAGGTAAACTTTTGTTTGTGCTCAAGATGGATATGGGCTAAAGTGGTTTTTTATTATCATCATTAAATGCTGACTCAGTTACTGGTGATGCAATTTCCTGTTTAGTAATTTGCTTATTCAAACTCAGTCAGAGAGCCTCATCTTAAATCTTGTTCTCTGACAGGAGAGAATGATGATGAATATACTTTAAAACTTTGGATAATGCAGGCAGCTGACACGGAATTACACTTTTAAAATCCCATTAAAGCAACAACTAATCAGAGTACTACATGAGTCATCCTTTGCAGTTATCTAGCTAACCTCATATTCTTTGTCTTTTAACCTGCAATTTCAAAATGTCTTGCCAGCATCATTTAGGAGTTGCCACATCTCTTTGGAATGAAAGTGCTTTTGAGAGAGAAAAAAGAGAGAGAGAGAGTCTCAGGGCCACATGCTAAGTAAACTTAAGCCTCTTTTATCTTTTCCCAGGAAAAAAGAAAGATATTAGTCACTCAAAATTTAAGCTGAAGAAACCTTTTTAAAACAGTTACTTCACTTTCCATTTAATCTCAGACCACTGGGGATATTTACAGTATTGCCGCTCTCCCTCTTTTCCTTTTTCCCCCTAAATTTGTAACTTCCAACATTTTCTCTTCTACCCAAAAATTACGAGTCTGATTCTCATTATCTAGCTTAAGTCCTTGACTTCTACATCTTTCCCTGAGGACCTCATCAAAAACTATGCTTTGGGTCCACAATTCTAAAGAACAATGAACTTTAAAAATTAAATTTTAAAATTTGTTTACAGGTTTTAGAGTTTACAAAGAGTTATCAGAAGAATTGTTTCAGCTGAACTCCATAATAACACTGGGAAGAAAGCAAGGCTGGTATTCTTTATACCTCAGAGATGAGAACATAGGGAGACTTGCCAAGGTAACGTGACCCGTTCAAGTCTCCTGACTCAGTCCAGAAAAATAGCCAGGTGTTTTTCTTTGCATAGGCTGTGTTATCCAGGTCATGAAAACCTTAATTATAAGAGGAAATATGATTAAGATCTCATTTTAAAGGCTTGCTGTTTTTAATGTCGGTCCATAATCAGGTTAAATTTTGTTTATTTAGAGTAATCTCACTCTATCCTCAAACCTGTGCTTTGTGTTCATTTAGGCTGTTTGTTTATTCTTTTTATTAATGTTTATTCACCTTCAACCATATATAATAACCATTTAGGGTAGGATTATGAAGCTCTTTTATGCCATGTCTAAAAGTTTGACTTTATTTTTGTAGCTTCAGGGATTGAAGAAGAAGGGATAGAAAAGAAAAAATATTTTACGGCTAAGCACAGTGGCTCATGCCTGTAATCCCAGCACTTTGGGAGGCTGAGGCAGGTGGATCTCCTGAGCTCAGGAGTTAGAGATCAGCCTGGCCAACATGGTGAAACCCCATCTCTTCTAACGATACAAAAATTAGCCAGGCATGGCAGTGCCTTCCTGTAATCCCAGCTACTCAGGAGGCTGGGGCAGGAGAATCGCTTGAACCTGGGAGGTGGAGGTTGCAGTGAGCTGAGATCATGTCACTGCACTCCAGCCTGGGTGACAGAGTGAGACTCCATCTCAAAAATAAATAAATAAATGAATAAATAAATAAATAAATAATTTGTAAGTGGGATCTATAGCACTTGGCTTAGTATTAGATATACGGGATACAGATAACCTCTGAGAGAAAGGGAAGATCATACAGTTTCCAGTTATGTAATTTTTGAGAATAAGGAATGCAGAAAGAGAAGACAAATTTAAGTAATGATAAATTCAATTTTAGAGATTTTGGATTTAGAGTGACTGCAGAACCCTCAGAAAAGAGTCCAGTAGAAAACTCAGTGAAACATTTTTCGCTACATTAGACTGTGATAAGAAACAATCCCAAAATTTCATTGGTTTTCAACGACAAAAGTTTACTTCATGCTCAAAATACATATCAGCTGCCGCAGCTTCACGATTCTACTCAGCTTTGTTCTGTGTGTTGTCTTCATTCTGGGATTATGGCCAAGATAGCAGCCGTGATATGGGGCATTCCCAGAGCCAACCTTGCAATGACTCTTTAAACTTCTGCTCAGATGCATCCAATGTCACATCTGCTTACATCCTATACGCTGCAGCAAGTCACATGACCAATGTCAACATCAGTGGAATGGGCAAGTGTATTTGTATAGAGGAAGCATTGCAAATCACATAAAAAACAAGCTCATAAGTATGATCCTCCTTCAGGAAGAGGAAGTAAATAATTGGAGACAATAATATAATCTACCACAAGTCTAGTCTAGAGGTAAGCGGCATGGTCTAGAATAGAAATATAAATTGGAGAATCATCAGTGTACAGGTTGCAGTTGAAGCTATGGAGATAGTTAAAATCATGGAGAGTATTTTAGATTTATGATAAAAGAAATATCAAGAACAAAATTGCTCTATTCATATGCCTCCATTGCATCATAGCTTAAAATGTTGCTTTGTTCAGAATACCCTATTTGTCACTTCCATATCAAAATTCTACTTCTAATGTATTGTACGGATTTGTTGTTCAGCTGAGTGCTTTTCCATTATAGAAGCCAAAGAGGTCCCCAAAGTTTTTTTGACTATATCTTTTCTTTTATTGTCCTGTATTATCAAAGGGTAAGCAGGTGGTATAAACTCAGCCAAGTGGATACCTCTGAGTGGGATTTTGTTTCCTAAATGCCTCAAAGACAAGTGAGAGAGTTCAAGTTTATTTATTGGGCATGGTGGTTTATGCCTGTAATCGCAGGACTCTGGGAGGCTGAGGCGGGTAGATCACTTGGGCCTAGGAGTTTGAGACCATCCTGGCCAACATGGCAAATCCCTGTCTATGAAAAACACAAAAATTAGCTGGGCATGGTGGTGTGCACTTTAGACACAGCTATTAGGGAGGCTGAGGTGGGAGGATTGCTTGAGCTGGGGAGGTCGAGGCTGCAGTGAGCCACGATAGCATCACTGTACTCCAGCCTGGACAACAGAGCAAAACCCTGTCTCAAAAAAAAAAAAAAAAAAAAAGAGTTTATTCAGCCTAGTGATGGAATCTGCTTCCACTGCAGAGACTTCTCCTGCAATATTATCTGCAAGAACTTTCCTTTTTACCTATGTTAAAGTCTGCTACATCTGCTTCCCCAACAAACCTGTGAGCTACTAATATCCTTATATTAGTTAAGTCTATTTTCCTTAACTGAATTAGAGTTGGTATATTAGCTCAGGCTGCTCCATAATAAAATACCATAGATTGCATGGCTTAAACAGCAGAAATTTATTTTCTTACAGTTTTTGGAGACTGGAAGTCTGAGAGCAAAGGGTCAGCATGGTTTGGGATTTTCTTCCTTGAGAACAATCTCTCTTCCCCTCTTCTAAGGTCACAGTCCTGTGGGATTAAAGTCACTACTCTTATTACCTCATTTAACCTTATTATCACATTAAAAAAAACCCTAGCTCCTGATACATTCACACTGCGGGGCAGAGTTTCAACCTAGGAACTTTGGGGGGTTATCATTCAGTACATAGCCTTTGGTTTCTGTAGCTTCCAACTAAAGTATCCAAACCATACAGACAGAATTTCCCTGTTTCCAAGAAGCCTGTCTCAACTACTCTAGCTCTCACCACTTTCTTTCCTTTACTAAATTTCATTACTTTAAATTCCCTTTAGTAAATTGTGGTCCCAAATATACATGTTGTTCTTAATTTTTCCTTATTTAATAACCTTAAAGGTAATCTAATTTGGTGGTTGTCAGACTTGGTGGCATATTAGAATCATCTGAGCAGATTTTTAAAATGCCAGTGTCCTAAGGTCCACTCCCCGCCAATTACATCCAAACCGCTCAGAGGAAGCCAAATAACATTTTTGTTTACAAATATTCCCCTAGGTGATTTCGGTGCACAGCCAAATGTGAAAATTACTGAAGTAATTCAATCTTATTTACAAGTTGGAAAATTTGGCTGTTTTATGTCTATTAGTTTTGTTCCCCCAACCTGATTATAAACTCTAGTTACAGAAATTTTTGCATTTACTTAACAAGAATAATGTAGTTATATAGGATGGGTGCATATCTAGCAAACAATTAATGAGCTTCTTTATGCAAAGAAGGTTTATTATCCATTTTTTTTTTTTTTTTTTTTTTTGTGGTAGAGTCTCGCTTTGTTGCCAAGGCTGGAGTGCAATGGTGTCATCTCAGCTCACTGCAACCTCCGCCTCCCAGGTTCAAGTGATTCTCATGCCTCAGCCTCCCGAGTAGCTGCTGGGACTCCCAGTGTGCACCACAGCACCTGGCTAATTTTTTTGTATTTTTTAGCAGAGATGCAGTTTCATCATGTTGGCCAGGTCGATCTCCAACTCTTGGTCTCAAGTGATCTGCCCACCTCGGCCTCCCAAAGTGTTGGGATTACAGGCATGAGCCATCACACTTAGCCTACGAAATGGTCCTTAATCTTAGTTACGCGTTGATCATTTCAGATGGGGTGGTGCAAAAAATGGTCTTGCCTGCACCCCCTCATTCAGTCTGATCAAATAGTATCAGGTGAGGCCTGAACTTCATGTACAACCACAGTTGAGAACAACCACTAATCTATTTCTTGATGAAATTGATATGTGAGTGAGCACAACCTGTCATAACATGGCAGGCTCATTTATCTCTAAAGATGAAAAATATTATCTGAATATATTTATTTATCAACTGACCTAATAAGAGTAAGTGGGCCTAAGAGTCTTTGCTGAAAGACTCTTGTCTGAATTGTGAATTCTGTTGCCAAAAGCACTAATGGACAACTAATCTGCCAATATTGTATAGACTCATAGAGTGTCACATTAACTCTACAACCAGATACAGAAACAAAAACTGTAGCTAATATGCTTAAATAGAAGAGTTCTTCTTTGTCCTTCTACTTGCTACAACTCTGTATTTCCCACTTAAAAGTAAAATCCTATTAATGTATTGTTTTATTTGATTGATATATGTATTCAATTGATGCATTGCCGCATTTCTTAATCAGCCACTTCAAGCTGATTGTAACCAAGTAACTACAAATCCATTCCTGCTCCAATGTGTCCCCCTCACTTTCTACCCACAATGTATGTATCTACTTCATTTGGGAGTACAACATTATATGCTTTCTAAATTGACAAGTTTTACATTTTAGTAAACAAAGACCAGCAGGAACACTCCTGTACTAAAGAAAAATAAGTTAGGTTTATTTTTCTTGCTTCAGCAGCTAAGAATGCACCCTTGAGTAATTATGGGATAATTCACTAAGTGGATTTGGGAGAGGCTTTGTATAGGATTTGGACTAGAGATGATAGTCCTAAATAAGATTTAAGGAAGCAGGAGCCAGTGCTGCATTAGATGTTGTCAAGAACTGGGATCAACTCCGTGATAGGGTACCTTGGTGACTTTTATCTAGGAAAGGAGAGGATTAAAGTAGATGTAGACCAGAAGTATCATTAGTAAAGGATTGATAGTCACTTCTGTTAGCTATAAGAGGGGGATGTTTAATCTTCTTTACGGTTTTTAGTGTTCTTGTCTGTCTTGTTCCAAACATGGTCACAGAGTGGTTTTATATAAACGATGCTTCTATTCTGAGTTTTGATAATGTTCAGTTGGGATCACCATGGCCTGGCCACCTGAAGGGCCACTTTTTGCTTTCTCAGAAGTTAAAAACTGTTGAATAGACAAGTTTTTCAACTCAAGAATGTTATATCTGATTGGGGAAAAATAAGCTATGAAATATTGCTACAGTTGTAAATTAAAGGCAGAGGTCTGCAAGTGGAGAGTAAACCTTCGGAAGGCAGAATTGCTCAAATGATTGAGAGTGTCATAAGTATGTAAAATAAGTTCTAGTTCTAATAGGCAAAATAAGAGGGACTGGTCTTTGGTTAGATTGGGCTATTAATTAAAGTCTTCTTCTTTTGGCCCTACCAGGGCAGAGCATGTGCTGATGATCCCCAATAATTTTACAGATCCCAGAAATATAAATTTCTTTATTACCCCTCATTGGCCTGCATATTTGCAGCTATAATGGGCACATCAGAGAGGAAGTAAATGGGTTCACTTTAGTGTCCTCTATCAGTCTTTTAGGCACTTTGAGATATTAATGCACAACAGACACCACTATCCTTGAGGCAAGCTGCCTGTTTTTCTGGTTGATATTCTTTTTAGACTTTACCTTTTTGAAGATTGATTTATTTAGCATTTCCCCTTCATGTTCTTTCATGCATTAATACATAACTTCTTGACATCTAGAAATTCAAGTGCAATATGACAAATGAGTCTGCTTCATTCTTCAGCAAATAACTTTTCCTCTTTTCTCATCCCCCTACTCTAATATCTCATGCAATCCACAATGGCAAGAAAACTATTTGAAAGCAATAAATGTTGTGGTTTACATTATATTTCCCTTAAAATACAGATACCTTATTGGAATTCTCCCAATATTCTTCAAGGAAAGAAAATATAGTATTCTTGTTGCAACTCTAAATAAGCAAAAAAGTGTTAGAGTTTATCTATACATATTTTTGGAAATGCTTCTCATAATGTCCATAAACCACTAGGTTAGAATTACTGAGGGATTTGCTAAAAATCTGTATCCTAATCTCTACCCCAAACCTATAAGAACAGAATCTTTGTAAGGAGGGTAAGACTTGAGCTGCAGGTAATTTTCATGTATATTAAGGTTAATTGATTATCTCCTAGTTCTGAACAGAGGATTGATGTATGTTACTGCATATATAAGAATAACAACTTTAGGCCGGATGTGGTGGCTCATGCCTGTAATCCCAGCACTTTGGGAGGCCAAGGTGGGTGGATCATCTGAGGTCAGGAGTTTGAGACTAGCCTGGCCAACATGGTAAAAGTCCGTCTCTACAAAAAATACAAAATTAGCCAGGTGTGGTGGCACATACCTGTAATCCCAGCTTACTCAGGGGGCTGAGGCAGGAGAATTGCTTGAACCTTGGAGGTGGAGGTTGCAGTGAGCTGAGATGGTGCCATTGTACTCCAGCCTGGGCAACAAGAGTGAAACTCTGTCTCAAATAAATAAGTAAATAAATAAATAAATAAAATCTTTAAGAGGATAAGCAATTTGGTTTGTTCCTCCAGATGTCTCTATCACCTAGAAGAGTAGCATATAGTTAGTAATTAGTGGTTATGTAAATGAATAGAAAAGAACATGAAGTCACAGGCTTAAAATATGAAGGTAATTTAGAAGTCATTTTGGAGCAAGCATTTAAATAAGTTAGAATCTTGGCTCCACTGTTTATTGGTGTTTGACCTTGGGCACACACTTAACCTCTTTGTGCTTCAAAGATTTCAAGGAGACCAAAGAAATACTACTACTTTCACAGTTTATTGTGAAGAATAAATGTGTTTAAATATATAGAGTGCTTAGAACAATTCTTGGCTAAGACACTCAAAAATTTGAGCTCATTGTGATTGAGGAGAAACCAGCCCAAGGTCAGGCATGTATATTTTTTGGTTGTTTTTGTTGTTGAAGAGACAGAGGTCTCACCATATGGTGCAGGCCAGATTCCAACTCCTAGGCTCAAGACACCCTCCCACCTCAATCTCCCAAGCAGCTGGGATTACCAGTAGGCGCCGCTGTGCCCACTAAGGTCAGGCTTCTAATCACCCAGGTCTGACCCAGATTTTCTCACTCCTCCTCTATCACTTTATTTCTTTATATGATTTGGCAGATATCAAAAGTCCTCCCTTTCCAAATATCTCACTATACTACTTTGTTTTTTACATATGGGCAGAATTTTTCACCATTGCACTCATTTTTCTAAATCAGGCAGGATTTAGATTTCTCTTTCTTTCCTTTCTTTTTTTTTCTTTTTCTTTTTTTTTTTGACAGATTCTTGCTCTAACACCCACACTAGAGAGCAGTGGTATGATCTTGGCTCACTGCAACCTCCCCCTCTCCCGTTCAAGCGATTTGGTGCCTCAGCATCCCAAGTAGCTGGGATTACTTACATGTGTGTACCACCATGCCTGACTAATTTTTGTACTTTTTGTAGAGACTGGGTTTCACCATGCTGACCAGGCTGGTCTCAAACTCCTGGCATCAAGTGATCCACCGGCCTCAGACTTCCAAAATGATGGGGCTACAGGTGTGAACCACCACACCCAGCCATCAGTGGGTTTTTTAATAAAACAAACAGCTAAGGATGAACTGGAAACCACAAACTGAGCTCTTTTTCTATGACCTAGCCTCCCCGGTTAACCTTAGGCAAAGAGTAGTGGTCAGCGGGCCTGCCTATGGGTAAATTCTAAAAGCCTCGCCAGAGACACTTAACTTTTTTTAACCCCTGTGGTTAAAGAGGACGGGTGGGTGCAGAGGGAATTTTATAAACGACACAAACACAAACAATTTTAAGTCCTGAAAAAATTCATTTGGATGTTTGTTTTGCTTCTGTTTTATAGCTTGTTTTAAATCAAAGACTACACCTTCCTGAGACAAGCGTTGATTACACACAAAATGAAGACTGGCCAGGGCCGTGGCTCAAGCCTGTAATCCCAGAATTTTGGGAGGCCCAGGTGGGTGTGTGGGTAGGGTGGGGGATCCTGGGTATCTCGTAAGCCCAGGAGTTCCAGACCAGCCTGGGCAATATAGGAGAGCCCCACCCCTACCATCTCTTAGAAAAATATAAATAAATAAATAAATAAATAAATAAATAAATAAATAAATAAAAGCCGGGCATGGGGGTGCGCGCCTGTAGTCCCGGCTACTTGACGGGCTGAGGTGGGAGCCTGGAAAGTCGAGGCTGCGCCACTGCACTCTATCCTGAGCTACAGAGCGAGACCATATCTAATGTGGGGGGGTGGGGTAAGAGGAAGGGGGAGCGGGGAGAGGGAGAGAGAAAGAGAGCGGGAAAAAAGAAGGAGGAGGAAGAGGAGGAGGAGGACACAGGTGTGACCATTGTCCTCCAGAGCTACAGATTCTGGCATTCTAAAGGAAGAAGGACAAAGAAACCAAAACCAGTTTCTCCAAGGCTTCAGCTTTTCAGTCTGACCATTTGATCTACATTCCATTATTTTGGCAGCATGGTGGGAGTGGATTCGGAATGGACAAAAACCCTTTTCAGAATTAGATCAGCTAATTAAAATGCACACAAACTTCTTTGTTCCTTCACCTCAAGGAGCGTCCTTGGAAAGCAAACATACTTCGGGGCATTTCAGTGGGGGCGCAGTGCGAGGGTGTCCTTTGCGCCTCAGCTCCGGAGAAAAACGAAAGGTGGGTGGGAAACTAGGATAGAGGTGAAAAGTAAGAGGGGACTGAATCAGCGAATGACAAAGGGAGCAGGGCTCCGGACAGGGGTAGGAGGAAGAAGAGGAGTGACTGGGGCTTGTGTCAAGCTTCTTCTGAATGGCTAGACAGCCGCCAGGTGGGAGAGGCGGAGGGTGAAGAGGCGGGTTCCGCACGCGGTTAGCCTGGGGCTGATCTAGTCTTCAGCTTTCACCGGCTGGGAGTCCGGAGCTGCAGCAGAGGCCACACCCAGGGCTTGGTGGTCCCGCGCTTTCCGGAGCTCAGCAGGCGCTTGCTGCTTGAACCGGTCAAAGAAGGAACGAATGAATGACCCTTTTGCCAGGATGGAGACCCGGGGGCCTCAGGGAGCTGCGAATCCCATGGACTCCTCCCGCAGCCTGGGGGACCTCGGGCCTTTTCCGCGGGAGGTAGGGCGCGGGGCTCCGCTAGCTCCGGGCGCCCGGAATCCCGCGACGGCAGGGGCGAGCCGAAGCCAGGGCGGCGGCCACGAGGACAGAACGGCAGATCGGGCCCTCGGACCTCGGGCCGGGGAGGAATTGGACCGTGAGTCCTGGGTCAGAGAGAAAGTGCTCTTTCTCCTGCACCCAGAGAGGTGGTTAGGGACTCGAGGGGACCCTGCACGGGAAGAGGTGGCCGGTGCAGAGGACCTTCCTCATGCGGGTGGAGAGGACCACGGCGAGGAGCCCAACTACCCTTCTGTCTTTCAACGACAAAAGCGAATTTCTGGCAGGCGTGTAGCCCCGCCGCGGGACGCAGCAGACCCACCCAAATACGTGCTTGTGCGGGTGGAGGATTATCAGGTAACACAAGAAGTGTTGCAGACCTCCTGGGCCAAGGGTCGCATGACCACGAGGACTGAGGAGCACTTCGTGACCGCGCTCACTTTTCGCAGCAGTAGAGAGGGACAGCCTGGGGAACGCTGGGGCCCTGCTGAATCCCGGGCTCTCCAGGCACGAACAGGGGCATCCCGCGTCCACGCCGCGGGGAGGAGGGTTTCACCGTCTCCAGGGACTTGGCTCGAGGAAATTAAACTCTAATGAGTAGCTCGAGAAATGTTCCGGGATGGTGGATGAGCGATCATCCTTAAAAGAAAATGCTATTCTGGGAGCTCCAACCTGCAATTAACCTACAGAAGGAACCTTTTGAGAGGCTGGTGCAGCGCTTCGGGGAGGCAGATTAAGAACTGTAAGCAGCATAATACCTCCTTTGTGGCTTGAATTCCTTCGCTGTCTGGGGACCTAAGTCATTCAGAAGAGGTGGAGAAAAGATATTTTCAGATTGGCAGAATGTGGGAGTTTTGAAATGAGAAAACCTGTTGTTAATTTGCATTTTGGAATAACTCTCAATTGATCTCTTTTCTGTTCCCCGCCCCCCTCTTGTTTCTCTTTAGGACCTAGAAACAGAAGTGAAGTTTGAAGTCTGCTCTCTGCAAAGAGGGTGGGAGTGGGTGGAGAAGAGGCTTGTTTTAAAAGCCAAAAACAGAAAGTAAAAAGAAATGGGAAAGTAAAACCAAAGCAGCAAGTGACTCTCTTCTGATGTGCACTTTTCATTTTTCTCCCCCACATTTCAGTGTTAGAAAGAAAACGAGAGGAGCTAGGGAAAGAAGGAGTTGGGGACAGAAGACTAAGATTTCAACGTGAAATTCCATTTACAAAGGCTTTACTGCAAACAATAGCTAATTTAGTCCTGTAAACATGCATTTATCATACATTTTAATTTTAATATTAAAAATACTGCATGTAAATGTTCTGAACTAAAGGTAGATAGCAATATGTAGTTTGCCATAAAATGAATGCATGTCTTATTCTTTTCCATAGTTCTTCATTAATGAGACTTGTAGTCAAGAATAGATTGAAGATACCATTCTCCTTGTGTAGTTCAAAAAAATCTCCTCTGGTAATACTGAAACAACTAATTTTTCTTATTTTGTTTGTTCCTCTTTATTATTAAATACTATGTGAATTAACTCTTTAGTAGTTGGCCTGGTTGAAGCTCTGTGAGGAGCAAAGCAGCCCTCTCCAGGTGAACTGCTTGACTTTACCACCTGAAGGAGTATTTACTGCAAGAATTAACAAAGCAGGTAGGACTCTGGCTTTTGATGAGCAAATAGTTGAAAAGTGCCTCCTTCCCCAGTCTTCCCTTTTGCCTTCATTTTTAGTTTAGAGCTTGAAGTGTTCTCAAAAGATCATCTGATCTACCTCTTGCCTCCTGGCAGGCCAGATAGATAAGATGCCCCTGTTTTACTCATGAGCCAACCTAGGCCTAGAGGTCTTGTAGCATGTCTAAGTCACACAGCTAGTAATTGCATATGCTTACTAAGTGGATGAAGAATGTGATAATCTCCCTCCTAAAGGTTTGGGGCAGCCTTTAGAGGATTTATTTGACCCTTACTTAGGGGTCAAAAGATGCCTGAGGATATCCTAGGTTTTCTTTCTTTTTCTATTTTTTTCTTTTTTTTGAGACAGAGTTTCTCTCTTGTTGCCCAGACTGCAGTGCAACGGCACGATCTTGGCTCACCACAACCTCTACCTCCAGGGTTCAAGCGATGCTCCTACCTCAGCCTCCTCAGTAGCTGGGATTACAGGCATGTGCCATCACCCCGGCTAATTCTGTATTTTTAGTAGAGATGGGGTTTCTCCATGTTGGCCAGGCTGGTCTTGAACTCCCAACCTCAGGTGATCCTCCTGCCTCCGCCTCCCAAAGTGCTGGGATTACAGGTATGAGCCACCATGCCTGGCCAATATCTTAGGTTTTCTAACTCATGTTTATGAGAAGTACTAGAATCACCTTAATGTTCCTGAATTCTGCAAGGCCTCTTGGCTGGAGAATCATCACTAGCAGTTCTTAGGCCTGTGAGACCCTCACTTGGGAGAGGAATTCAGCATCTGAGCTCATCTGTGTTCAAAATTGCTTGACAGGTAGAAAAGATTCATCCCTTAAAATGAATCTCTTTTCCTTAACAACCCTCCCTGACTCCAGTGGGAGATTAACTTACTTGGCATGTAAGTTTCAGACCTGAGCTTATTAATTTGGTTGAATCATCACATGTCCCAGGTGACTAATCATTGAATATAGAGAACAAAAAAAGTCTCTTTCACAATAACCAAAAATGGTAAGTAGCATCACTCAGCTGCCTTCTCTGGAGGCAATTTCTGGCGTTCAGCTGCTTGGGTTCAAAACTGGCTCTACCTCTTTATTAACTTGTGTCCTTGGGCAAGTTGCCTTATCTCTGTGTGCCTCTGTATCCTGATTTGTTAAGTGGGGACAATAAATAGTATCAACTTCATAGAGGGTTTTTTTTTTTTAGGGTTAAGTTAAATGAAAATACTTAGAACCCTGCCTGTCATACAATAAATCCTCAAAGTTAGTTACATTTTTTATTATTAGCACGGTTATTGTTTAGTTCACTTTTCATCCTAACTAGGCTTTAGTCTTTTGTTTAGTAACAAAAAGCAGAAATTGTATAACACAAGAAAGCTAATGAAAGTCAAGCCGGTGGTTTTTAATAAGACTCTTCTCTACTCCTGAAAGAAAGGACTTATTTCTAGCTTTTCCTAACCTTTAATGGATCAGTAAGTATATTTCTTAAATTCTTTAGAAATGACCTTCACATCTTCTGTAGGGACTCATGGTAAAGCTCAAAGGACTAAGGTACACTATCCTTAACAGTCACTGAAAAGAGTTTACATACCTCCTAGTTCTGGGCAGATGGGAGCTTTGAATACTTTCTTTGACCTGTCAGGTTAGTTTGTTTTCCCTCTGGGATTTTAAATCTGATGCCCTGTTGTCTAGAAAAGCAGAATAGACACAATTTGTTTTCATTTTGTCTTTCAGCCAAAAACGTATTTAGTCAAGTTAGCTTAACTCCTTTAAACCAAATATGTTTGAGTTAATTTTGTTTTGTTTTTGAGACAGAGTCTTGCTCTGTCGCCCAGGCTGGAGTGCAGTGGCACGATCTCTGCTCACTCCAAGCTCCGCCTCCCATGTTCACACCATTCTCCTGCCTCAGCCTCCTGAGTAGCTGGGACTACATGCGCCCGCCACCATGCCTGGCTAGTTTTTTTGTATTTTTAGTAGAGACGGGGTTTCACCGTGTTAGCCAGGATGATCTCGATCTCCTTGACCTTGTGATGCGCCCGCCTCGGCCTCCCAAAGTGGTGGGATTACAGGCCTGAGCCACCATGCCCGGCCTGTTTGAGTTAATTTTAAGTGATTTTTTTTTTCCTTTTCTCACTGTTTCAAGCAATGAAAATTTATTTTTAAAGTGCTTACTCAACTTCCCTATTAACTGCCTAGAACATGTTTATAGATTTCATTTAATATAGAGTTCCTTTTCATTGGAAACAAAAAGTAGTAAGTCCAAATACTGTTGAATTTGCTTCACAGGTGTTCCTGATCCAAGCAGAACCCTGTTATTTGAAGAGCCTGAGAAATCTTATCCCGTTTACAAATGTCCTGGGAGTGCATCCAAAGTGAAACTTGGGCATCCTCAATACTAAGAAATCTCTGAGAATGACTGGATCTTGGCTCTTTGATCTTACCTCTACTCCTCTGAAAAACATGATTATCTAAAATTGTGTTAGGTGGATGAACCGCATCAAAGACTTCCAGAAGCCACTCCAGTGACCATAAGATAAATGTCAGAATCGCATAACCCCCAGGATCAGGCAAGTGTTATCCTCTCTTAAAACTCTTTGTTTACAACCATGATCTCCTTTTGGGAATCATTACATTTGACTTACTGCTTATTTTTGTTGGATGTTACCAGTGCTTGGTGATAAAACTTGATGTGGCTCTTTGCTTTGAAAAAGAAAAAAACTTTTTATTAAAAGAAACAGTTGTATACACTGCATAAAAATTGGGAAAATATTATGAAGAAAAAGAAGATATAATAAAGGAAACAAAAATTTACAGATGACCCCAAATCTCTTTTAATATTTGGCAAGTTTCAAGCATGAATTTTTTGTTTTGTTTTGTTTTTGTTTTATAGAGACAGCACCTTGCTATGTTGCCCAGGCTAGTCTTTTTTTTTTTTTGAGACGGAGCCTCGCTCTGTTGCCCAGGCTGGAGTGCAGTGGCGCAATCTTCGCTCACTGCAAGCTCTGCCTCCCGGGTTCATGCCATTCTCCTGCCTCAGCCTCCCGAGCAGCCGGGACTACAGGCGCTCGCCATCACGCCCGGCTAATTTTTTGTATTTTTAGGAGAAATGGGGTTTCACCATGTTAGCCAGGATGGTCTCGATCTCCTGATCTCGTGATCTGTCCACCTCAGCCTCCCAAAGTGCTGTGATTACAGGCGTGAGCCACCGCGCACCTGGCGTGCCCAGGCTAGTATTAAAATCCTGGACTCAAGCAATCCTCCTGCCTTGGCCTCCCAACATGCTGGGCTTATAGGCATCAGCCACCATGCCTGGCCAAGTGTGGTTTTATTTTATTGTATTTTCATGTGAATATACCTACATATATACATACATCTTTCTAAGCATAAACTATATAAAGTAGTATTAATGTAACCTCTGTATATTTTCTGAATATGATCTGTATATAAACAAACATATACTGATGCTACTCAAGATGGGCGTTCTGTGAAACGGCAGCGTGGGCATCTCCAAGAAGGTTTTTAGAAAAGTAGAATCTCAGGCCCCATTCCAGATCTGTTGAATCAGAATTCGCATTTTGTCAAGATCATTGGATGATTCACATTAAAGTTTGAGAAACACTGACATATTCTCATATATTTAGTTCTGTATCCTATTTTGTCACTTACCAAAACTGAAAAGTTTTTTTATTCTGTATTCCCAATTAATTGTTAACAATGCCATGAAGATAATAATTCATAGAGTTTTGAACACAGTTAAAGATTACAGGAAGGTGAAAGATAGAGGATATGAATGGGTAAATTGGCGAAGAGATCTCTATGAAGCTTTATAGTGTCTTTTTTAAAGAGCCTTATTATTTGAAAGTTTGTCCTAATGAACCATTGACTCATCATTGAATTTCAAACTATTTCAGAAATATGGCTATTTTGTTGTCTAGGAATATGAAATAATACATTATAAAAAACTCCTGTAAAGGTGAAAAAGCAGGAAGTCATTAACACATTGCACAATTGCAACTCTGCAGGCTGAGTCAGAACTTGTCAGCCACTTGTGATGAATTGAGAGGGGTGGGGAAAAGGTGGAGCCAGAATTTGAATCAACTGATTCAGATAAGTAAACAAAGGGCTGTGACTCTTGAACACCATGACATCTCTATAACTGCAGTCAGTACTTTGCTCTGTAATTAGGGAGGGCAAATCTGTGAATTTACTTCTCTAGATGAAGATAAAGTCCAGATTACTTTGGAGAGAGTAAGGAGTTATGATTGGTTTTCAGGCATTATGCAGCCAATAGTCACAAACAAAACATTAAGACTTGGTTATCTTCAAAGCAAGGAACTAACCAAATTCAAACTTACATTTCTAACCTTAAAACAGAACAAGAGGCCAAGCACGGTGGCTCACGCCTGTAATCCCAGCACTTTGGGAGGCCAAAGCAGGTGGATCACCTGAGGTCAGGAGTTCAAGACTAGCCTGACCAACATGGAGAAACCCCATCTCTATTAAAAATACAGAATTAGCCGAGGTGATGGTGCATGCCCATAATCCCAGCTACTCAGGAGGCTGAGGCAGGAGAATCACTTGAACCCAGGAGGAGGAGGTTGCAGTGAGCTGAGATCGCGCCATTGCACTCCAGCCTGGGCAACAAGAGCAAAACTCCATCTCAAAATAATAATAATAATTAATAAATAAACAGAACAAGAGTATTTTGAGGAGACTGCAGCCCTCCCCAAAATAGAACAAACAGAGGCTGTGTTTGCAGAGCTTGCTATAATAAGAGAGTCAGCCAACATCATTTGTGCTTGGCAGGAAAGCGAAGGCAGGTAGGGCAATAGGAAAGCTTTGTAGTGGCCAAGATGATCTTACCCATTCCTCAGCTTGACTAAATTTCAGATAAGCTTCTTGACTTAGGTCCCTGACTTTCCTTTTCTTAGAGCATTTACTTTAGAAGACTTTGAATGGTAAATTATTTCTCTGCCCCTTTGAAATGTAAATCTAAGAAAGATCCAGGTATGTCTTTCTTGAGGACCTAGGAGCCATTACTGTGAAGTGTAATCACTGAAAACAAACAAACAAACAAACAAAACTCAGAGGTCTCTAACTATCAGTCTCTGTGGGAGGGTGGAAGCCCAGCTTCTCAAAGTGCCAATCAGCAAACATAGATGGCATAATCACATTGACCAATGTCCCTTTTAACATTGTCTCGTAGTTTTTCTCTAGCTCGCCTTAATGCTTAAAATATTCCCACCTTTTGTTTCAAAGGAATTAAGTTCAATCTCTCTCCCCTAATGCAATAGTTTTTGTTTTTTGTTTGTTTGTTTTTTGAGACAGTCTCACTGTGTTGTCCAGGCTGGAGGGCAGAGGCGCAATCTTGACTTACTGCAACCTCCGCCTCCCGGGTTCAAGTGATTTTCCTGCCTGAGCCTCCTGAGTAGCTGAGACTACAAGTGCATGCCGTTACACTCAAATATGTTTTTTTTTTTTTTTTTTTTTTTTAGTAGAGACGGGTTTTGGGCATGTTGGCCAGGCTGGTCTCAAACTTCTGGCCTCAATGATCCACTTGCCTTGGCCTCCCAAAGTGCTCGGATAACAGGTGTGAGCCACCATGCCCGGCCTCTAATGCAATAGTCTTGAATAAAGTTTTCCTTGCTGTTTAACTCTGTCCCATGCAATTACTCTTCAACAATAGTGGAAAAAGAAAGGCTTTAGTTATGTTCTGCTTGGAGCCTATTGGCATGGGGGGAGCTGGAGGCAGGTGATCTAGGACAACTTCTTACATGATTAGTTTAGGGATTTCTCAGGTAGGCCCTGAGTTGGAAAAAAAAAAAAAAAAGAGAGAGAGAGAGAGAAGCTGGCAGTCACTGACCAAGTCCTGACCTTTTGAGCTGATTGCTCCAGAGGCTGTGTTTTGACTTCCCAGGTTGTGACTTCCTTCTCACAAAACTTGTAGGTTGGAATTCTGTAATAAATGGTATCAACCTCATAAGTTTTTTTCAAGGATTAAGGTGAATAAAAAATTCTTAGAACAGTGTCTGGCCTATAATAAATACTCAAAATTAACTATTATTATTATAATTAGTATTAGTGGTAGTGGTAGTGTGTTCAGTTTACTTTTCGTATTTTTTTTGGGGGGGGTGCGGGATGGAGTCTTGCTCTGTTGCCCAGGCTGGAGTGCAGTGGCACGATCTTGGCTCACTGCAAGCTCCGCCTCCTGGGTCCACGTGATTCTCCTGCCTCAGCCTCCCGAGTAGCTGGGACTACAGGTGCCCGCCACCATGCCTGGCTAATTTTTTGTATTTTTAGTAGAGACGGGGTTTCACTGTGTTAGCCAGGATGGTCTCGATCTCCTGAACTCGTGATCCACCTGCCTCGGCCTCCCAAAGTGGTGGGATTACAGGCATGAGCCACCATGCCCAGCCTTCAGTTTACTCTTCAATCTAATTAGGCTTTAGTCTTTAATGACAAAGAGCAGAAGACATACAGCACACACAAAACAATCAAATCCAAACCAGTGGTTTTTACTAAGACTCTTTTCTGTCTTTTTTCATATTTTACCATATATGATCTGGTCATTGTCCATATATATATATATATATATATATATATATATATATATATATATATATATATATATATATATATATATTCAGTCTTTCATTTATGTTAGACCAATCCTAAAGACAGAGTTAGAAACTGAAAAACCCAGTCATAAAATTCTGGAAGATTTAGTCACAGATTTCTTTTATGGAGATAATCACATTATACTTGTTTATTAGAAACATCCAGAATGCAGCCTTGCAAGTAGCTTTTTTCTGGAAGTGAAATATGCTTTGGCATAGTTTAATCCTGTTGACATCCAAAATGCTATGTAATGGATGAGTGCTACTTACTGAAAGCAAAGTCAAGTCTGCATAAGTCCACCTAGGCATGGGGTATTATCTAGTGGTCACTGGGGTTATAGCATACATAAGCATTACCTTTAGACTGCGTGACTTGTTCCTGGCCCAAACCCCTGAGTGTTAAATTTGCTTTGTGTGACCATTGGACCATCCTTAGGCCATTTTCTACCTTCAAAACATCTTGTGACTTTGAGCTTATTTGGAAAGGCCATGAGGTCCCTGGAAAAGTGGGCACAATTGGGTATCTTGAATTCAGCTTACTTGGAAGAGGAAAAAGGAGGCATAAGGGGTACCACATAATTTTTAACAAAGCGAGAGAACTTTCAGGGAGAACTTCGGAATGCAGTCAGCTTCTGTAAGGATTCTCTAACTGGTGTCCCTGTGTCAGGAAAAGCCCTAAGCCAACCTATGGACTTTCCAATCCAGCCTCAATGTTATCCCAGGCTCCTGAGGTTATAGGGTTTATCCTACAGTCTTTCTATCCTAACTGGGTGGAATAACGTACAAAGTTACAAATGAAATAACCTTATATTAGAAATTGATCAGGCTGGGTGCGGTGGCTCATGCCTTTAATCCCAACACTTTGGGAGGCTGAGGTGGGTGGATCACCTGAGGTCTGGAGTTCGAAACCAGCCTGACTAACATGGTGAAACCCTGTCTCTACTAAAGATACACAAAATTAGCCAGATGCGGTGGTGCGCACCTGTAATCCCAGCTACTCGGGTGGCTGAGGCAGAAGAATAGCTTGAACTCAGGAGGCAGAGGTTGCAGTGAGCCGAGATCGCGCCACCGCACTCCAGCCTGGGTGACAGAGTGAGACTCCATCTCAAAAAAAAAGAAAAGAAAGAGATTGGTCATTTTTCTCCCTGTTTGGGATTCTGTTGGAGTGGAAGAAGGGATTCTCTGACCTATATATTCAGTGGCATGCTAAGGACCAGGCAATGGGTGGGGTTTGCTCAGGAGAGAACAATAAGCAGTGCATCATCATTAGAGATTTTAAAACAATGATAAAGCCAGACTAAAAGTCTTTCTGCTTTCTTTTTTTAGCCTGTTGCTCAGGCTGGAGTGCAATGGCACGATCTGAGCTCACTGCAACCACCTGCCTCCCGGGTTCAAGCTATTCTCCTGCCTCAGCCTCCTGAGTAGCTGGGATTACAGGCGCCTGCAACCACACCCAGCTAATTTTTGTACTTTTAGTAGAGATGGGGTTTTGCCATGTTGGCCAGGCTGGTCTCGAACTCTTGACCTCAGGTGATCTGCCTGCCTCAGCCTCCCAAAGTGCTGGGATTACAGGCTTGAGCCACCGAGCCTGGCCTCTACTTTTTATTACTGTCATGTAGTTAGTGATAAAATGCTTCTATCTGAAAAAAAATTTGTTGTTCTAAATTCTAAAAAATTCTCGTGATTATTGCTTAAATTTTAATAAAGCAGATGTGATTTTCAAATTACCACATTTTTATTTTTCTTTATTTTTTCTGTGTGGAAGGTCATTGAAAAGCCTCTATGTTGTCCTCCTAATATCTCTGTCTCTCCATCACCGTCTCTCTCTCTCTCTCTCTCTCTCTCTGTCTGTCTCACACATAAACTCAACTAAATGCATTCATTGTGAGAGTAATTTTTTTTTTTTTTGAGACAGAGTCTTTCTCTGTCGCCCAGGCTAGAGTTAAGTGGCACGATATCAGCTCACTGCAACCTCTGCCTCCTGGGTTCAAGCGATTCTCGTGCCTCAGCCTACCAGGTAGCTGAGATTACGGGTGCGTGCAGCCAAACCTGGCTAATTCTTGTATTTTTAGTAGAGACGGAGTTTTTACTATGTTGGCCAGGCTGGTCTCAAACTCCTGACCTCAGGTGATCCCCCTGCCTTGGCCTCCCAAAGTGCTGGGATCACAGGCATGAGCCACCGCGCCTGGCCAGGTTCAGAATCTTTAGAGCTCGCTTTGAGTGTACCTTGTGTCTTCAATCCTTATATATAAATACCTGCACTTCAAGAACAGATTTAACACAAACAATACCACAGCAATTGTGGTGTCTGAGGAAGAGAACTTGAGTTACTTCTATCCTGCCATTATATATGACTTATTTATGTGTAACATTTAAAATAAGAAAATAGCAAAATGTATTATTTTTGATAAGTGTTAATTTATTTCACAGCTGAGCTGTTTTACTGGATTTGAGTGAATGTCTTTAATTAAAACTTATTCTTTTCTTAAAAAATAGAGATGGAGTCTCACTCTGTCACCCAGCCTGGAATGTAGTGGCATCATTGTAACTCACTGCAGCCTGAAACTCCTTGGCTTAAGTGATCCTCCCACCTCAGCCTCCCAAGTAGCTGGAACTATAGGCACAAGCTACCATGCCTGGCTATTCTTTTTTGTTAATTTTTTTTAAACTAAGGAATGAAGAAAATAAAACATTACATGACTGGTACAATTTAGTTGTCTTGATTGTTTCTTGATATCATTTGGATCTGTGTCTCTGCCCAAATCTCATGTTGCATTATAATCCCCAATGTTAGAGGTGGGGCTTGGTGGGAGGTGATTGGATCATGGGGGTGGTTTCCCATGAATGGCTTAGCACCATCCCCTTGGTGCTGCTCTTGTAGTGAGTGAGCGCTCACAAGATCCAGTTGTTTAAATGTGCGTAGCACCTCCCTTCTCTCTTGCTCCTGCTCCCACCATGTAAGACAGCCTGCTCCCACTTTGTCTTCCACCATGATTGAAAGCTTCCTGAGGCTTCCCCAGAAGCAGAAGCCGCTATACTTCCTGTACAGCTTGCAGAAACATGAGCCAGTTAAAACTATTTTCTTTATAAATTACCCATTCTCAGGTATTTCTTTATAGCAGTCTGAGAATGGACTAATACATTTCTTTTGCAGACATTTCAGTTTTATTAAAATTTTCTTATTAACTTGACATTTACATGAAATATTATTATCAGACTAACCAAAAGAGCAAAGTTATTATTTGTCTTATTTTATGATTATTACTAAAATTTATTTTCTCATATTAATGTAAAAATTGACCGCTTCTGATGGCGGATACACTAAGTACGTCACTGCCAATATATAGTCATAGAGTCCTAAATACGGAAGGAAGATAGGGTTGCAACTAAAATTAGATTTTTTTTTTTTTTTTTTTTTTTTAGACAGTGTCTCACTCTGTCACCCAGGCTGGAGTGCAGTGGCACGATCTCGGCTCACTGCAACCTCTGCCCCCTGGGCTCAAGTGATCCTCCCACCTCAATCTCCCAAGTAGCTGGTACTACAGGCTTGCACCACCCATGCCTGGCTAATTTTTGTAGTTTTAGTAGAGACAGGGTTTCACCATGCTGGCCAGGCTGGTGTCAAAGTCCTGACCTCAGGTAATCTGCCCACCTCAGCCTCCTGAGTAACTGGGACCACAGGTGTGTGCCACCACACCCAGCTACTTTTTTTTTTTTTTTGTATTTTTAATAGAGATGGGGGTCTCACCATGTTGCCCAGGCTAGATTTCTTGATCTTTAATTAAAGCTGTTTCTATTCCCTGCAAGAGAAAGTAGTCCACTATTTCAGGGGTCTTCACCCACCAGGGCACAGACTGGTATTGGTATGTGGCCTGTTAGGAATGAGGCCACACAGCAGGAGGTGAGCAGCAGCAGGCAAGTGAGCAAGCTTCATCTGTATTTACAGCTGCTCCCCATCACTCACATTACTGCCTGAGCTCTGCCCCCCGTCAGATCAGCAGCGGCACTGGATTCTCATCTAGGAGCATGAACCCTATTGTGAACTGCGCATGCAAGGGATCTAGGCTGCATGCTCCTTATGAGAATCTAACGCCTGATGATCTGAGGTGGAGCTGAGGCAGTGATGCTAGCACTGGGAACAGCTGCAAATACAGATTAGCATTAGCAGAGTGGGTTGACTACACAGAGACCATAATAAATCAGTTGCTTGCAGACTCGTATCAAAACCCTATCAGTGAGTGGTAAGTGACAACCTGCATTTGGTAGCAGGCTTTATAGTGGCAAGTGAGTTGTACTTCAATTGTACAGCTGCATCTGGTGGCCTTAAGTTTGTTTGAAACAACTTCAAATCTCTGTATGTTCTGGATCAAAGTTAAGGTGGAATATCCTAAGATTCCCACAAAAGAAAGCACTGAAAAGCCTGCTTCCATTTTCAGTATCTTATCTTTGTGAAGCAGGGTTTTCTGCAGTGGCTGCAACCAAAATGAGATTACAGAGTAACCTGGACATATGGAACACACTTTCAATGTCACTGTCTCCCATCACCCCCAGATGGGACTATTACAGGAAACAAGCTCAGGGCTCCCACTGATTCCACCTTATGGTGAGTTGTATAATTATTTTCTTATGTAATACAATGTAATAATAAGAGAAATAAAGTGCACAACAAATGTAATGTGCTTGAATCACCCCAAAACCATCTCCCTCCCCACCCCTGGTTCATGGAAAAATTGTCTTCCATGAAACCAGTCCCTGGTGCCAAAAAGGTTGTGGACTGCAGAATTAATTTTGACTTTGGATTAAGAATTAACTGATATGTTATTGAACACCATTTGTGAACTAAGTGTAATTCAGAAAATGGAACTACCCCTTAAATGTGTTCAAACAATGAACTAAGATTAGCAGCTTCCATTTTTTTAATTATGTACAGTTTCATTTAGTTCAACTGGGAAGTCAGGGAACCAGAGTATTTTCCAATGGACTTACCTAATTCACACTGTATGCCTGTACCAAAACATCTCATGTACCCTATAAATACATACACCTACTACATACTCACAAAAATTAAAAATACAAAGTACAAACAAATTAAATGCTTTATAGAAAATACTGGTTGGGGATGACCAAGATCACCTAATGTTCCTCTCAGCTTAACTAAACTTTAAAGTTTTTTTGGGAAAATTTTTGTTTGTAAATTCTTTCTCTTCTCCTTTGAGATGTAAATCTATCAAAAAGTTTGCTAGTTTTACAATCCAGAAATGTCTTTCTCAAGGGCTTAGGAACCATCTTTTTGAAAAGTAGTAATCAAGGGATAAAACCCCCCTAACTCCCAGTCTCTGCGGAAGGGTAGGAGCCTGATTTGAACGTGAACCAATTAGCAAGCACAGATAACCTCATCACAGGGGAAAATATTTGTAAAGTTAGGAGTAACACAATGTTGTGGGCACATCCTACTGATGAAACTCTCCCTAACCTCCTTCAGTACTTTTTCATAGCTCACCCCACTGCTTTAAACCTTTCTGCTCTTTGTTTCAGCAGAGTTGCATTTAGACAATTCTAGCCTCTCTCCTCTGTTGCAATAGCCTTAAATAAAGTCTTCTTTGTTTGACTTTATCTAGTGCAATTTTTTCTTTGACAAAAATCAGCTAACAGCAGGGGAGAAGGATTTATGTTGATGATGGGGAAGTATTTGATTTCATAAAGGCTAAAGATGCTTTGTGTATCAGTTGTGTATCAAGCAACTGACAATGATTTCTTTATGGTGCTGATAGGAGTCCCTTGCTCATGCCTTTGCTGGGACTTCAGAGCACTGAAAACAGGGACGTGGGAGTCTTCAAGTTCCAACCTTGCTAAAAAAAAGAGTGAATACCTTTTTGTTGTTGTTGAGACAGAGTCTCACCCTGTCACCCAGGCTGGAGTGCAGTGGCACAATCTCAGCTCACTGCAACTTCTGCCTCCCTGCTTCAAGCAATTCTCATGCCTCAGCCTCCAGGGTAGCTGGGATTACAGGTGTGTATGACCAAGCCTGGCTAATTTTTATTTTTATTTTTATTTTTTTGTATTTTTAGTAGAGATGGGGTCTTGCTATGTTGCCCAGGAAGGTCTTGAACTCCTGGACTCAAGTGATCTGCCTGCCTTGGCCTCCCAAAGTGCTGGGATTACATGCGTGAACCACTGTGCCCAGCCAGGAGTGAATACTTTTGATCTCAGCAAGCTGGCTGTATGCCCAAACAATTCTCTGTTATTAACCATTGTTTTTTTAGTTATTCACAGAGTAAAACCATTGCCTCATGTTTAGTATGATGTGATCCTCACTTAAGAGTTGAATTTTCTTTATTGCAGTTTTTTTCATTGCCATTTTGGTGACGTCCATGATCTCAGGACAAAGTGTTATAAAGTACCTTCCCCTCACAAACACACATCAATTATAACTACTGATTGGTGACAGAAGGACCAGTTTCATGTTTGAAAGACAAAACCCTAAAGCTCTAAGTGAAGGTTCTATTTGTGAAATGTTTTATTTATTTGTTGGATGGAGGATGGCAGTAAGGATGTTTCCACTACAGCAGTTAGCATAGGAACTCATTCTGATGTGACATGAGAATGCTCTGTGATGGTACAGCTGACCACCTAAATAATCTCAAACCGCTTGGCAGAATACTGTGGCCGGCGAAGTGCAGGAAGGAGAAATTCATGCTACGGACAAGATAACAGTGAGAACTGAGGCTCCGGCGCATATGCAGAGCCTAGGCCTGGGCAGAGCGTAGGTCTTATGAGGCACTGGTCAAGTGGTGAAGCCAACGTCCAGGCTTAGGTCCAGGTCCAGATGGGAGACTCCAGGGAGTGGCTGGAAGGTGAACTTTGCAGGAGGCTGGTGAAAAACAGGAAAAGCTCCTTCCTGCGAATGACTCACCAGCACACATCCGGCGACCTGGACACAGACATGCTGGGGGGTTATAAAACATATTGGCACAAAAATCTGAAAAACAATCTAGACAAAGACAAAAACAGTCCACATGTGATTTCTTCTATTTTGGAATGTGTAGATCACTCACTTAACTTTCCCTGAGCTTCATGAGCTCTGCCTTCCAGTTTAAGCCCTGGAAATACATAACGAAGCACAAAAGCCAGCTTTGCTTTATGAGCTCCATGGAAAAGACACACAATAAAATGGTCATATTTTAATGTGAAAAATGTTAATGACAAGTAAAGCCAAGTGTGTCAAGGGGACATAGTAAAGGGGCCTAATGTGGCTTGGAGAGTCAGGGAGGGCTCGTGCTTTGTACAACGGCTTTGTATCTAAACTCTCATACAAAGGGTGAGAAGTTGGCCAGGCAAAGATGGGGAATTTGTGGAAGGGGTCATGAAAGATTTGAGGGCTGGAAGAAATTTCACTCTGGCTAGGGCATAGAGCGCGAACTAGGTTCTCAGACCCGAAGCCAGAGGAATGAGTAGAAACTACATCACGGGACCTTGGAAACCAACGTTAAGAAGCTGCCAAAGCACCTTGAGGAGAAAGACTTGATTAGTATTATATTGAAACATGAATTATTTGGGAAATGTCAAGGTGTCTGAAAAGTGGAATGAGTTAAAATTGAGGAAGGAAGCATTCTAGGTAAGTTTTTATTAAAACTACTGTGGTCTTAATGATTATACATATGTATTTCTTAAGACATTGTGTTGAGAATGGTATTTTTTTTCAGCTTAAGTTTAATGAGCTTTGTGGTTGTTTTACAGAGCAAAGATAGCCTACTGCACTGAAATGTAGTATTATTAAATGTTTCTACTTCCAGTCCTTCAGAAGACCCAACCAGGTCTTTTCATTCCTGCTCCCATAGTCTGTAAATCCTAAACTTGCTGCTTGCTGCTTGTCAGTAAAATGTTGCATATAATTTAGTTAGATTTCATGTTTTTGTTTCTTTAATTTACAAGGTAAGTGTGATAAGTGTACTGAAGACTTCAAAGCTCAGAAAAATATTTAAAAGCAGATATATTGACCAGGTGCAGTGGGTCACCCCTGTAATCCCAGTACTTTGGGAGGCTGAGGCAGGTGGATCACCTGAGGTCAGGAGTTTGAGACCAGCCTGGCCAACATGGTAAAACCCTGTCTCTACTAAAAGTACAAAATTAGCCAGGCATGGTGGTATGCACCTGTAATCCCAGGTATTCCAGAGGCTGAGGCAGGAGAATCACTTAGAACCTGGGAGGCGGAGGTTGCAGTGAGCCAAGATCGCGCCACGGCACTCCAGCCTGGGTGACACAGGGAGACTCTGTCTCAAAAAAAAAAAAAAAAAAAAAAAGCATTATTTATATAGGACTTCCAGCAAATAGATTAACTCCAAGAATGAGAAACATTTTCTCACTATGTCTGATAACAAAGCAAGCTTTTTGGGAGGTGAAAGGCTGCAGATAGTGCCTGGAAATGCTTGTTAAATAAGAGCTAACCATTCAATTCACAAATGTATGTTTCATAGCAACAAGATTGATATGTTTAATGTCAATGTCGCTTGAGCTTGGCTCTGAGATTTGCTCTCAAGGGGTTTGCTGTGTAATAGGTGAATCTTACAGTAAATAGGTAGTTTTTTGTTGTTGTTGTTGTTGTTGTTTGTTTTTTTTTTTGGAGACAGAGTTTCACTTTTTCACCCAGGCTGGAGTGCAGTGGCACAATCTCAGCTCACTGCAACCTCCGCCTCCCTGGTTCAAGCAATTTTTGTGCCTCAGCCTCCTGAGTAGCTGGGACTACTGGCATGAGCCACCACCCCACACTAATTTTTTGAATTTTAGTAGAGACAGGGTTTCACCATGTTGCCCAGGCTGGTCTTGAACTCCTGAGCTCAAGCAACTTGCCTGCCTTAGCCTCCCAACGTGCTAGGATTACAGACGTGAGCCACTGTGCCCAGTTAAATAGTAATTACTGATAAATAATTTTTATCAGTATTACAAGATAGAGTGCTGGGGTTGCCCATGGAAGGAAGGCCTAATCTAGCTTTTTGGGTTAGATTTTCCCACTTGCCCAGAAATAAATGCATGATTGAGCGGTGTCATCCAACTGGATGATAAATAAAGCAGCTTAAGGTATATATTATGTACCCTATGTTTAGGCATTATTCAGTTTTATGGCAGGAGTCTAGCTATCCAATAAGATAAATTACATATTATTATTGTTTATTCTTGAGAGTAAGGGAAGACAGTAGGATGATCTCATTTATTTTTTTAATTAATTACCTTTTTTTTTGAAATGCAGTTCTGCTCTTGTCACCCAGGCTGGAGTGTAAAGGCACAGTCTTGGCTCACTGCAATCTCTGCCTCCCAGGTTCAAGTGATTCTCCGGCCTCAGCCTCCCGAGTAGCTGGGATTACAGATGCCCACCACCATACCCGGCTAATTTTTGTATTTTTGGTAGAGACAGGGTTTCACCATGTTGGCTAAGCTGGTCTCGAACTCCTGATCTCAGGTGATCCGTCTGCCTCGCAAAATTTCTATCTGAATGCAGTAAGTAATAAATGTTAAGGAAATAATTGAAGAAAAGAGTGCCTTAAACACTAGAGGAATATGAAGATTTGAAGAGATTGTGGCACTCATGATTGAAACACAAAATTAGTTTTATAATATTAATTTTTCTCACTGTAACAGTTTAACGATGATTGTATTTTAAGAATATTTCCAGCTGGGTGTGGTGGCTCACATCTGTAATCCCAGCACTTTGGAAGGCCAATGTGGGTAGATCACCTGAGCCCAGGAGTTTGAGACCAGCCTGGGCAACATGGTGTAACCCTTTCTCTACTAAAAATACAAAAATTAACTGGGCATGGTGCCATGAACCTGTAATCCAAGCTACTTGGGAGGCTGAACTGGGAGGATCGCTTGAGCCTAGGAGGTCGAGGCTGCAGTGAACTGTGATCATGCCACTGCACTCCAGCCTAGGCAACAGAGAAGACCCTGTCAAAAAAAAAAAAAAAAAAAAGGAATATGTATGCATTTTTGCCTAAAATAAAAATAGTATTATTACTGGATTTTCTGGATTAAAACAGAAAAAAAAAAGGTCAAGTATAACTAGGGAAGTTTAGAATTCCTGAAGTAAACAGCAAAATCCTTTGAGAATAAGCCACTCTGAAAATCTGGACTATTGCTACTTGTCTCTTAGTACAAAGAAGCCTCCAGGTCCAGTTGTGTAAGAAACCAGGAAGAGCTTATATACAATATTGATTAGAGCTCAAGAGACAAAGTAAAAGAATTGTTCATAGTGAAAAGGGAGTGTTAAGAAAAACATAATTCCTTCCCTCCAAATACTAACAGCAGTAAGTCCAAGAGTCTGGAAAAGAGTCTGAAAAAAAAAAAAAACTTTATGCATGAAAAAATTATTGCTCCATGTCTTCTCTTACAAAATGATGGCTCAGTGTCAGATGTTGTTAACGTGCACTCCAGAGACCATTGTTTATGTTTCTAGGCTCTTTTTCTTTTGTTTTTTAGAAAAAACAAAATGTTGTTTTGAAATGTTGAGAGACATCGAGTTTATAACACTGCAAATTATATGCAGATTGTTTTTCATTTTTTAAAATTCTTGTTCCAGGTGTGATATTACATTTTTTACTTGAAAGTCATTAATCCAGGTAATATTTTCTCATGTATCCTCTTGTGTGTGTGTGTGTGTGTGTGTGTGTGTGTGTGTGTGTGTGTAAAAATCAGGAGACTGAATTATACTGTGTATCTTTTATTACTTAGTTACCAGTAGGTGAAGAAAGACTATTCTTGGGTGGCTGCTGTTTATCCATCACTGAGTGGATATCTGGAGTGAATGTTAAGCCATTGTTTGTATAAGCAGAAAGGCCAAAAATCACAAACTGCTTGTGGTGCAGCTTTGCTGTGACTCTGCTAGGAACAGAGAATTTATTTCAAGTTCGTAGGCTTCAGACATTTATGGAACAAATTCATTTCGTTCTCTGAATTTCAAAATTAACACTAGCGGAAAGCTCTTTCCTCCCACCTACCTTCCCCAAAGAAATCCTAAAAACAAAACAAAACAACAACAACAAAATCTTCTATTTACACATATTATTAAGGCAGAACTTTTTTGGTTGGGGTAAAGTTGCTGCCAACTGTCTTTCTGTTGCTTAACTTTCTCCTCAAACTCCTGAGGTTCTACCCTAGCCTCAGCCACAAGGAGTCTTCAAAGATTCCCTTAGAAAATGTTGCTTTAGTGCCTAGTGTCCCAGAGCCAATTTAGAACCAGTTCTGAAGTTTAGTGCTATATGGAAAAGTACGAAACCTTAGCACAGTCTTAAGTCTCTCCAGATTTTTCAAACCGCCTTTCTCAAGTAAGATACATTACCCACTGAAAGGGCAGGAACGCTTCTCTCTTGATAAACTTTTCCTTAGAGTTGAGGAAATGCTCAGGATTAAAAGTGTCTGGTTTTTCCCACTGTGCTTGATCTCGAGCTACTGAAGCCAGCAAGATGATAACCTCAGTGCCCTAGAAATACAAATGTTCGTATTAGTAACAGAGATTAAATTTCTTCCTAAAAAGGTCACTCTCTAAAGACATATCATGATCTTGGTTGGCAATTACTCAGAAGCAGGGTGTTCTGGAAGGAAATGGAAGAAGGGGAAGCCGAACAGTGGCAGGTGGACTTGAGGCTTAGTGTGGAGTATTCGCTTTCCTAACCACATGTTTATTCATGTGCTTACTAAAAAACTCAAGCCTTGGACTCAGAACTGGGAACAAATTCTTACTTAGCCATCTAGTGGCTATGTGATAACAGCATGTCATTTAACTTTTGATAAACCCCACTTTCTATATTTGTATAATGAGAGTTAAATAGTCTTCATCTGAGACTGAGCCTTAGAGGAAAGGATACATGTGAAAGAAACTGGCACAGTTCCTGGAAGGTTTGGGGGCTCTATGAAGGTTGGCTTTTATCTCCAGTGACTATGATAGTGGATATTAAATCAAACAAGCCCATTCCAAACATTCTCAAAAACAAGTTTCCCTGCTTCCAGAGCTTGCTGCATACTGGGAAACAACTTTCTACAAAAGAGAAAGTAATTTTAATTGTGATGTGGGAAAGGATATTCTGAGAACTAAAATAAATAAAATAAAATAATGATAAAAAACAAAATCTCTCCACCAAATTAAGAACAATATTCTCTACTTCATTTTGGTTCATTACAGTTGCCTCTTTTTAAATTTTATTTATTTATTTATTTATTTTGAGACAGAGCCTAACTCTGTTGCCCAGGCTGGAATGCAGTGGCACGATCTCAGCTCACTGCAAGCTCTGCCTCCCATGTTCGAGTGATCCTCATGCCTCAGCCTTCTAAGTAGTTGGGAATACAGGTGTGCACCACCACACTCAGCTACTTTTTTTTTTTTCGGTATTTTTAATACCATAAAGAGATGGGGTTCACCACGTTGGCCACGCTGGTCTCGAACCCCTGGCCTCAAGTGATCCACCCACCTCGGCCTCCCAAAGTGCTGGTATTACAGGTATGAGCTGCCATGCCTGGCCCTACAGTGGCCTCTTTAAGAAGGCTTTGTAATACTATCTTGGTGATTAGCTGTTTTACAACATGAATCTGTATAGTTTTTCAAATTACAAAAAGCAAACAACTGCTTTAAAATGTTCTGTTTTAAAACTTTAGGCTGGGTGTGATGGTGCACACCAGTAGTCCCAGCTACTCATGAAGCTAAGGCATGAGGATCGCTCAAGTCCAGAAGTTCCAAGGCTAGCCTGGGGCAACATAGTGTGACCCTATGTTTAAAAAAAATAAAAAATAAAAAACTATCTGTCTATTTATCTATGAGTGATTATTTGTATCCTGATATTGTGCAGACTTTCTCCTCCTCATAGCAACTGTGCTAGTTGTTTCCATTTCACAAAAAAGATGATTGAGGCCAGGAATGGTGGCTCACACCTGTAATCCCAGCCCTTCGGAAAGCCGAGGCGGGTAGATCACCTGAGGTCAAGAGTTTGAGACCAGCCTGGCCAACATAGTGAAACCCCATATCTACTAAAAATACAAAAAATAGCCAAGCGTGGTGGTATGCACCTGTAATCCCAGCTATTTGGGAGTCTGAGGCAGGAGAATCGCTTGACTGGGAGGCAGAGGTTGTAGTGAGCCGAGATCCTGCCACTGTACTCCAGCCTGGGCAACAGAGTGAGGCTCCATCTCAAAAACAAAACAAAACTAACAAAAAAACAAATAAAAAAAGAGATGATTGTGGCTGAGTCTCTGTAGCAAATAAGTGAGACCCCCTATATCTTCCTTCTCCTTCCTTCCTTCCTTCCTTCCTTCCTTCCTTCCTTCCTCCCTTCCTTCCTCCCTTCCTTCCTTCCTTGACAGGGTCTTGCTCTGTCACTCAGGCTGGAGGGTAGTGGTGCAATCATGGCTCATTGTAGCCTCAAACTCCTGAGCTCAAACAATCCTCTTTCTTCAATCTCTTGAGTAGCTGAGACTACAAATGCATGCCACCACATCTGGCTATATTTTAAATTATATTTGTAGAGACAAGGTCTTGCTATGTTGCCCAGGCTGGTCTTGAACACCTAAGCTCAAGCGATCCTCCTGCCTTGACCTCCCAAAGTGCTGGGATTATAGGCGTAAGCCACCATACCTGGCCCCCTTTCTAATACAATGCTCAACCTAGCTCACAGCAAGGTAAGTGGGTGGAACTACAATCCTGCCACTATTACTGTTTCTATGGTCTTTAAAAATTCTTTTGACATAGTTTATATTTGTTTTCTATTTCATTGCTAATCTCACTCATTCAGCCCAACAGTGTTTAACGTGTGCCCAGAAGAGAAGCTCAAAGATGGATGTAGTCTTTTTGTCCCCACGGAATAGGAAGTGATAGTGAGGGGAGAGGCCCACATAACCAGTGATTTTGTGGATTCATGCAGAGGTGGGCCCAGAAGCAATGAGGAAACTAGGTATCAAGAAAAAAAATTAGCACTATGGGTATACCATGTAACTTTATGGCAATTTCTGCCTTCAGTTAGGAAATATCTACACATAATTCCTCAGTTTACCAGGGGAAATCAGAGGGGTGCATCTGGGTATCTCAATGTTAGGAAGCAGAGGGCATGAGAGTGTCTCTGTGAGAGGACGGAAGTGAAGCCTGGAGGTAACCCTAGCGAGAGGACTGTGTGGGGAAAGCACAGGCTCTGGGAGGAGCACACCTTACCTGGGACTCTGGCTCCCTATAGGCCAACCATGCATTCCTGACACTTGCTGGAACTCTCTGAACCCCAGTTTTCCCAACTATAACATAAAATGTCATACTGTCTTATAAAGTTTCACAGAATAATTGTCATCCTTAATTATCCACTAATTCATCCAATAATTATCACACATGCATACACAGACATTCAGTTACCTTTTGTTGAATGATAGGGAAGGAAGCAAAGAGAGGGAAAGAAGAAGGAAGGGAGGAAGGGAGGAAGAGGGGAGGGAGGGAAAGGCAGGCTGGGGTTGTCTTTGACAGTTTATCTCAGTGCTTCTGTGATTGTAAGCATCAGAAGTTTTCTCCCCTTACCTCCCCTTCTTAAGCCTTACCTTTGGAATGCAGTAATTTTTAAATATATTTGTGGTTGTTGCATGGGATAAGCTTGTGGGCAGAATGTTAGCAAATCTTTGTACTTCTTAAATGACAGCATCTGTGTGTGTCATTTGAGTTCGGTGTGCAAGTCAAGATTGGGCCGATACCACAACTTTGGTGATCTCATTGTGGACCTTTTCTGGTTAAAATGGAATTAAACTGTTTAGAGTCTGGGCTGGGAGTGGGTGTTGGAACATTTTCTTTACTTGCGGAAATTAAACCCAGTGTTCTTCCAATTTTGGTTCATTTTTTCCCTGCACTGCTTCCACCTCTCGGCCTCTATTCCTAAAGCTCTTCTGGGAACCTGCACGTTGTGGTGCCTTCAGAGCATCTTAGGATGCTTAAAGAGCAAAATCTACTTTCTTATATCGAAGGGAAACTAAAGATACAGACTATCCTCAAGGTACAGATTACAGGTTACCCTCTGTGATTATAAAATTCTGCATTTGTCCAGTCCAAGAGATTTCTGGTTTCTCTCTTTCAGACAAAGCTCAGAATCTTAGGAGACTTACTCTGGACCTCAGGATATCTCATCACGAGCAAAATTCCCCAGTGCAATGTGGAGGCTGTGGTCTCTGTACCTGTCGTGAACAGATTATTAACAAGTGTCACCAACTTTTTATCACTGAAATAGTCAGCAAATGTGTCATTCTCCTGAAAGAGTAAAATGAACCACCGATGAAATAATTTTGTAATGGATAACCATAACAAGTACCTTATCATTGATTTAAAAAACAAAGCATTACGTTTTCTCATCAATTGAGTGGAGTTTTTTAATTATACAAATATAGTGAAGAATTTTAGGATAAAGCACATTCCAGAATACATAATTCTAAAAATGAGCAAGGCTGTTTGCCACTTGGAAGGTGGGAAATTAGTTTTAATTGAATGATTAGAATATTGCCAGCAGTTTCTTAAACAAATTTTAATTAAATAATTTTTCTCAGGTTTGCCAATTTAAATATTTCTCAAGGCTGAGAAAAAAATATTAATTCTAAAAACTAACACATGTGAGATCTTCTGTATGTTTTGTTTTTTTTTCAGAAAGTGATATAAAATGTGGTGGGGAATATTCAAGAATGTAAAATGTAATAAATAGCATTATTTGGAGTGTACAAATTACCAGTAACTTGAGTAAAGTAATCTTTCTTCAAAAGAAATGTTTTTCCTTCAGATGCTATTAAACCAAATGATAAAAAATAGGCTATGGAAACCTCTAAAGAAAAAAACATGAGCTCCTGCTGTGTTACCAAAAAGACATCAGTGAAATTTCTTGGATCATTTTTGTCAAGTTTATGATGGTGATCTAGAAAGGCCATCCTTATAAAAGAAAACAACTCATCTCTATTTCTGAGTATGGTCTTATGACTTTTTAGGAGAAACCCCAAAACAAGAAACATATTGAAAAGCTAAAAGAATAATTTTAAAAAGTAATTAAATATACATATGTACAACTTGTGACAATACAAAGAACATTATTTCTGAAAGGATTATAGAAATAGCACCTTGAATTTTACCTCAACTATTAGGTTGGAGCAAAACTGCAATTACTTTTGCACCAACCTAATAACAGTGGCAGACTGAACTAGATGAGATTTCCTCAATTTTTGGAATTAACTAACCTACAATGAATACTGATATGGCTTACACTAAGTTCTATGTACCCAGAGTATTTTGTATGTTATTCCTGTGGCAATAGCTCTAATTAGAGGTTAGATGGGGCATGAAAATAATATTGGCTTTATGTTAAGAGCTATAAATCCAAGTGTTTTTCTTACAAAATCCTGGGTGATTGCAGGTGAACAATCAAACTATTTTAGTTGTACATAACACCATAATCTTACCACTACTGTCTTCTGTAAGATCACAAAAACTAAAAAGTTTATAATGGACTTACTATTCACAGGTCCTATAGAGCAGCACTACTTAATCTAATATTCACTGATTCTTAAAAAGTTCAGGAAGGACTTTATTGTTTGCTAAATTTTGTGTTTGTTAATATATTCAGTTTTGGGGAGATAGGGTCTATGTACTTAGTCGTATTTAGTCATATTCTCAAAGGAGTTCATGAGCCTTCAAATGACTTAATAAACCAACATAAAATGCCCTATCTAAAATTAAACAGTATAATTGTCTGTTTCAGGGTTGCCAAGCACCTGTATTTAGAGTAAGTCTATATTTATAGTAACAGAGCCTAAATTATTACAAAGTGAAGTAATATGGTTGTCAGTGATGCTATTCAAAATGAAATCTATTTGAGAAGGCTCTTTTTTCCTAGATTCTAGAAGACAGTGACTTTATCACTCACAATGATAAAATATTGAATTTTAGCACTATTGTGAAATTCTATAGCTCAGAATAAATACTAAAGTTTTATTTAGCACTTATGGTTTTTTGTATTTGGTAGTTGTCGGGGATCAGAAAATAATACCCCGAAATGAAGGCCTCAGAAGCAGCCTCAGAAGCATAAGTTTTTCTCTGACCCTCTCCTATCAGTCCCCTTCTCTCTTGAGCCTAGCCATAGAAACTAGAACCCCTTTTCCACAAAGCCAGAGCACCTCAGGATGCTTGAAGAGCAAAATCTACTTTTGTGTGTGTGTGTGCCCTGTCACTCATGCTGGAGTACAGTGGTATGATCTCGAGTTTGAGCGATTCTCGTGTCTCAGCCTACAGGTGTGCACCACCATGCCCAGCTAATTTTTGTATTTTTAGTAGAGACATGGTTTTGCCATGTTGGCCAGGCTGGTTTCGAACTCCTGACTTCAGGTGATCCACCCACCTTGGCCTCCCAAAGTGCTGGGATTATAGGCGTGAGCCACCACACTCGGCCCAAAATCTACTTTTGGTGGGAGAATTATCAGATGTGTTAACCAAACAAGCCCTAAACCTAAAAATATTACTCAATTTTTCCCTCTGCCTTTCTGTGTAAAAGCTAGCCATAAAGAAATTATCTGACTCATCTTGTTTGACTGTAGGTCATAAGACTCCCATTCTAGAGAGGGTCCTGCCCATACCCAAGAGGAAGGAATGCTGCTCAGAGAGGCCAAGAGGAGTCTAGACAGGCCTGCTGGGTTTCCTCACTCTGTCTGTTAGCATTAGAACACACTCTTATTGTATCTCTCTAATAATTATTGAACAAAATCATAAAAATGGACAATTTCTCCTGTGTCTTTGGGTCTTCTTTCTGAAGGCACCAGTGTATACATGTTTTTGCCTTTTCTCCACAAAATCTAGTTTTTTAGGGTTGATTTTTCAGCAAAACTTCAGAGAGCAAAAGGGAAATTTTCCCTTGGCCCATACATAAATCGTACTTTTTACTTCATAAAATTCACTCTCCTCAGTGAATTCTATTGAGTGTTCCTTGTTCACTCATTGCTTTTACCACATTCTGTGCTTAACTAGCAGTATAGGTAGAAGGTAGCCAGAATTATAAGAACTTACATGTGATATTGGTGGGATTCACAATCCCTGTATCATAATTTACTTGATGTACTATTTTATGAGGGGAGAATTAGCAGATGTGTTAGCCAAACAAGCACACCACTTCTGTGTACTCAGAATGTTCCAAACAAGCATACATTTGTGAAATAGCAATTCTCTAATGCTTTTTCATAGTCACTTTTAACAATCAAGTGTACCTCAGAGAAATTAAAAGTGAATAGCAATGATACAGTTACTGCAATTCTAAGACCTCCAATGAATTTCACATTTTCACCAGTCAAGGCTAAGAGTCTCAGGAACTGGGAGTCTTGTAGTCAAACCATTTTCCAAGCAACACTAATACAATGATCTTAGCAACAGAAGCATTCATTATTGTTTTGATTTCAAAAGGCTTTCCTACGAGATAACTCATTAATCAAGTTAGGAATATTAACATATACAGTATTAAACCAGTTCTAGACTGATTGGGACATATTGTCAAGGAAAGGATTTTATAAAAGAAAGGGATTATTGATGACTATAATTTTCAAGGAGAGATGAGACTTGAACAGGCCTTGAAAAATACCCAGAATTTGTTCAAAAGATTGCCACGAGGAAAACTAAAACTATATGTCAAAGGAAACCTGCATTTGGTTTAGCTAAAGAAACAAAAATGTGCCAGATGAGGGCATTTTAGTGCCTGTGTAGTGTGTGTGTCTGTATGCAGCTTGTGTGTGTGAGTGTGTGTGTGTGTGCATGCATACACGTGTGTTTGGGGGCGGATGGGTAATGCATAATATCTGGGAAAATGTCACTTCAAACTAATAGGCTGCATTCAAGTTTAAAATAGGACATCTAGATGATTGAAATGGTTTCATTTAAAAATACTTCATCCAGGGCAGCTCCCTGTTTTAATTTCCCCTGTTACTGCATCGTGTTTTTCTCAGCATCATTAAAGACTGTTTAGATTACTTAACATATCAGTGAATGGGGATACATTTGTAAGTGAAGAGCATTGTAGTTGCTAAGATTTACTCTTAAAATCATCACCTGGGTGGTCACAGCGGCTCACACCTGTAATTCCAGCACTTTGGGAGGCCAAGGCATGTAGACCATTTGAGGTCAGGAGTTCGAGACCAGCCTGACCAACATGGCAAAACCCTGTGTCTACTAAAAATACAAAAAATTAGCCGGGTGTGGTAGCACATGCCTGTAATCCCAGCTACTCTGGAGGCTAAACAGGAGAATCACTTTAACCTGGAAGGCCAAGGTTGCAGTGAGCTGAGATCATACCAATGCACTCCAGCCTGGATGACAAGTGTTGAATTCTATCTCAAAAAAAAAAAAAAAAAAAAAGGGGGAAAAAGAAGTCATCGCCCACCTTAAATGTAGAGGCTGAAAGCCTAGGGGAAGTCTAATGGAGAATACATTTTCTTTTTCAATACAAATGGGAGAGCTTGGGGAAAGCTGTGTAAACGAAGCCCTGAGGAATTAATGTGCATTAGGAGTTTAACACTGGGGGAGGAATAGTCATTTTTGTGTATGTAATTCCTCCAAACTGCCAAGACCCACTCTTTCTAAACATACAGGTACTGCTAATTTAACACATGAGTTCTTGAGTCCTTTGTTTCTCATCTCCATGTATTCCCAGGTTGTCTACCTTTGATCATTTCACTTCATATTAATTCTTGCATCAAATTAGCTCATTTTGAATAAGGAATGAGCTCAGTTTAATGAGGAAATGAGTAAAACTCTTGACATGAAAAACGAGATTTTTAGATTGTTCCTCCCATATATTGCTGAACATAATATGGCATTTGATATAGTTTGGTTGTGTTCCCACCCAAATCTCGTCTTGAATTGTAGTTCCCATAATCCCCACGTGTCGTGAGAGGGACTCAGTGGGAGGGAATTGAATCATGAGGGTGGTTTCCCCCATGTTATTTTTGTGATAGTAAGTTCTCATGATATCTCAGGGTTTTATAGGGGGCTTCCCCCTTTACTCTGCTCTCATTCTTCTCTCTCCTGCTGTCTTGTGAGGAAGGATGTGTTTGCTTCCCCTTCCAACATTATTGTAAGTTTCCGGAGGCCTCCCCAGCCATGCTGAACTGTGAGTCAATTAAACCTCTTTCGTTTATAAATTACCCAGTCTCAGGTCTTGGGTATGTCTTCATAGCAGCATGAGAATGGACTAATGCAGAATTAATTCCATTTATTATGGAAAAGGATCAGAAACACACTCATTACTGAGGAATTGTTCTAGATTAAAGGAGGGAAAAGAAACATGACAACTGAATGCAATCATAATTTAAGATTTCCTTTTGTTCTTAAGAATACTATTGGGACAATGGCAAAATCTGCATAAGATCTGCAGATTAGATGATAATATGTTAATGCTGATTTTCTGATTTTTGAGAATTGTATTGTGTTTATGTAGGAGGATGTTTTTACTTATTGTTAAGAAATATTAAAGCATATAGGAATAAAGGCAAAGTATTTCTTCAAAGTACTCTCAAAGAGTTCAGAAAAAATAATATAGATTACATAGGTAGATACATAGACCAAGAGTGAGAGAGAGAGTGAGAAAGAGAGAAAGAGAACATGTACAAATGTAAAATGCTGATGTAGAGGATATTGGAGAAGAGTAGAATGGTAGTTGGGGATTATTTGTATATTCTTGGAATTTTTCTATAAGTCTGAAATTATTATCTTGACAAAATAAACAATTAAATATATCTTTTGTTGACTTCTTTCTGATGAAAAATAAGACATGGTTTTATTTACCCTACACACCTCTGTGAAACTCAAAGTTCTGTATGAGATTCTGGCATTCCTCTATAATTGTGTCTTCTATGATCCACTCACCCATTCCAAAATTTCGTAAGGTGGTCAAGCTGAACCGTCTCATAGTTTTCCAGGTTTCACCATGAGAGAAGGCAATTCCTTATAATGAAGGAAATGTCCTTAAATTATTACTTCTAAGCTTTTTAAAATTTAATTTTTAAGTACAAGTAAAAATTAAAAATATAGGTAAATTCTCCCTGTTGAAAATAAAAGAAGAAACTTCTCCCTCTCTCCTTTCTTTACTTAGAGATTTTACTTTAAAAAACTTTGCAAGTACTTCCTCTTCTCTTTGAAATGTTCATAAATCCTTTTGAAAACAAGATAGTTTTTTAATCAGCTTTATGACCCAAGAATGCCTTTCTCAGGGACTTGGGGACAATCTTTTTGAAATATAAACATCAAAGGAGATAGCACCCTATCTCTCAGTTTCCATGTGAGGTTAGGAGCCTAACTTCAGTGGGTACTTCCTCAAGTTGCAAAACTACCTCTTGTCACAAAGAGATGATAAATTTATTTTTCCTTTTTATAAAGCCAGTTAACATAAATGATCATCTCAATTGCCAGGTGAATCTAGAATAAATGGTGTGACAAATAGTGCGGTCAAGTCCTCTTATTTAAGGACTAGTTTTTGTTTATCTTGAGAACATGTATCTAATGGGTTGCATCTGATTGGCTATATGAGAGAGTGAGATTTCTTTGTGTTTTTGCAGTCTTTTAGTGGATAGTGATACACATTATTCTGGTTTAGTGCTTCTTCAATAATGAAAGTGTTTTCTCTCTGCATTACTCTTGTGGAGAAGATTTCTGGGTTGGGAGAAGATTTTGTTTTTATTTACATTTTCTCAACACATTCGATAAAAAATTATTGATTACCTGCTATATGCTTATATCGTGCTAGTTGCAGTTAATCAGTTGATGAACAATAGCAAAGAAAGTAATTTTTGCCAGGGAAAAATGCAGTCTAGCAGACATAAGATTACCCAAGTAAAAACTTAGAAATAAATAATTACCAAGAAGTATAGTCAAATTTCTACATCAGTGCTATACATACTAATATCTAGAGAAACATTGTTATAGCACATAGATGCTCAATAAATATTTACTGAATTAACAGATATGTGAATCTGTGCATAGTTAAAGGAAATAAAAATGATCACTCAAGCAAAGTTTCTCAGAAAAGTTGGAGCAGATGCTAACACTTTATAGAAAAATAAGGAAAGAGAGTGTTGCTAAGGTTGTTAACATATTTTCATGATGAAATTTGTGGTAAAAGTGACATTATTCCTTCTGTGTCAGTCCTAGCCCCAGATCTTCTTTCATTTGCACTTTCCCACATTTTTCTATAGAGTTACAAAAGACATGGGAGGATGTTTTAAATTTGATTGGTAACCAGAAATAGAAAACTAGAATAGACTAAGGCAACTTAGGTGTTAGAAATGGGATAATATGGTCTCAACATGAAGGAATAGAAACTCCAGAGTTGCTGTTGCCACCTCATGTCAGGTCAGGCCTTACTTTGAAAGGATACCAATGAAGGATTAGATTCTGCTCTCACTGAATTATTGGATTAGTATAATATTACTCTGTGAATCATGTATTACATAAAACTCATTCATAACAAATATGTAACTCTTCAGACTATCTCATGTTTATATTTAAAATTTTACATTTTAGAATACAGTATTAGGACATTAAGGGCCCACAGAAGTCATTGTATCTTTCAGATAATAAAATATTCATGTAATCACGGAGAACATTAGTTTAGTATCATGAAGGTTTGAACTTCTTTTAAATATTGGCAAAGAAGCCCTCAATATATTTAAGATTTTTTGATTATCCTCATTATTGGTTGTATTTTATACTTCTTTGCATGCCTGGTAATCTTTGATTTGCCATCAGACATTGTGAATTAAACTTTGTCAAGTACTGAATATTTTTATATTTATATGACTATTCTGGCACTTTATTCTACAATGACATTAAATTATTTGGAAACAGTTTAATTTGGGTCTTGTTTTTTATGATTTGGTAGTCATTTTCAGAAATGTCTTAGTCTTGGGCTAATTTTTTTTTTTTGAGACGCAGAGTCTTCCTCTGTTTCACAGGCTGGAGTGCACAGGCACCATCACTGCTTACTGCAACCTTGACCTTCAGTGCTCAAACAATCCTCCTACCTCAGCCTCCTGAGTAGCTGAGACCATAGGCATGTGCCACCATGCTCGGCTAGTTTTTAAATCTATTGTAGAGATGAGGTGTCACTATGTTGCCTAGGATGGTCTCAAATTCCTAGCCTCAAGCGATCCTCCCACCTCAACCTCCCAAAGTGTTGGGATTACAGGCGTGAGCCACCATGCTTGGCCATCTTGGGCTATTTTTCACCTCTGAGACAAGACCTTTCTGAGTATTTTACACAATACCCCATGAATTATGAATTTTTCTTCTGGGTGGTGGTTACAGGCACTATTATTTCCTGCCCTGTTAAATATCAGGCACTAATCCCTCTAATTCTTTTTGGTAGTGCTTTCCCTGGCCTCAGGTAGTTCTTTCCACATGCATACACTAAATAGCATTTTGCTGAATACTTGAGGGACTCTTATTCATAAGGGTCAGAAGGGTTCTTTCTGTGTACAGTTCTCTCTGGTTATCTGTTTTGCACACTTCAACTGTACTGTCTCTCTGGATTCAAAGTAATGCATTCTCAGCTCAGGAATGTGCTGGGCTGCCACTTCCTGCACCACAACCTAAAAACTTTCATAAGGCAGTAAGTTGAGAAAATAGTAGACGTTACCTCATTTGTTTCACATCTTTCATGGATAACTGTGCTTTGTTACCTGATGTCCAATGTCTTGCCATATATTATTTTCCTATTTTTGTTTGTTGGTTTGGTTCAAGTGGGAGGGTAAGTTTGGTTCCTACGAATACATTTTAGCCAGATGTGGAAGTTGGAAGGCCTGTAAAATATAGTACGTGAAAATATAAACGATAGGCAAAAGAGTGTATAGTTTGATCTCAATTACACAAAGGAAATCAAACATTTGTTTGTTTATGTATACTTTTTAAGGATCTAACTAAACTGTAGTCGTAGCAACATCTGTTAGGGAAGAAAAGGGCATCGGTCTGGTGGTAAAGGAAAGGGAAGCTATCACTTGTCATTTTGAAAAATAATTAATACTATTAGAATTTTTGCCATATACTTGCCATATATGTGTATTATTTTCATAATTTAAACAATTGGAAATTAAAAAAATCATCTCAGAGTTAAGGAAGCTGTGAAGAAAACTTGTTTGTTTTTTCTTTCTAATTCATGCTAAGTTAAGAACTTGCTTGTGTTTGTGTGTGTGTGTATGTGTGTGTGACTGTGAAATATGGCAGGTCAGGGGTTGGGTGTTAATTCTGGGGAGAAGTTTAATTTGTCATGCCTGCAAATTAATGGAGCATAGAGAGTAATCCTTGAGACATATAGTTTTGATAACATATAATTTTATTGTTTATATTAACATACTACTTATGAGTTTATCACATACTTGCTTATTATAAGTACTTATGTGTATGTACAGAATAAACACAATAAGCCTATGAGATTAGGCATTGTTACCATCATCCTTGGTGAGAAAATGGAAATAAGTAAACTTTCTAAGGTTACGTAACAAGTAAAAGACAGAGTTGGGATCCAAGCTAGGCAGCCTGGCCCCAGAATCTACACTTTGATCACAACATTTTACTCTTTTCATAGTTGTTTAAGTGTCCTTCATGACAACCATTTTATCTTGAATTTAAGTGATAATCACTTAAGGTGCTATGACTAGAATTGGCTGCAATGTCAGGATGTAAAATAAGCAGTAACTGGCCATGAGCTTCAGTGTCTGAAGATCCAACCCAAGAGATAGATTCTGCAGGCAAAAATGGATTTTAATACTATTCTAGGGCCTGGTAACCATGGCACCATTATATAAGTTTCTAAATAGGCAGGGGAAATTAAAGCAAGAAGCAATAGGCTAAATATACATAAACCTGGTAACATGCATGATTGGAAACAGGAGGCAGTTGGGAGAGCCTGGAGAATTCCTTAGGTCAGACAGAGTATACATTAGTTTACTGAGTCTGTCAAAACGAAGTGCTACAGATTGACTGGCTTAAACAACAGAAATTTGTTTTATCTTAAGTCTGCAGGCGAGAAGTTCAAGGTTGAGATGTCCACATTGTTGGATTCTTCTGAAGACCTCTCTTCTTGGCTTATCCATGGTCTCCTTCTCCATGTCATCAAATGGGTCATTTTTCTGTGTGTGCTTCTATCCTAATTGTCTCTTCTTATAAGGATATCAGTCATATCAGGTTAGGACCCAGACATATGACCACATGTAACCTTAATTACCTTTTAAAGACTCTGTCTTCAAATACAATTACAGGAACATTCTGAGTACTGGGTGTTAAGATGTCAGTATATGAATTTTGGGGGAATGCAATTCAGCTCATAACAGGATGGTTACTGAAAATTAAGGCACAGGCAGGTAGAGAATGATGGAGGTCACAAACCTGTTTGGGCACCAACCACTGAGCCAACATTTTTTGGGCTGAAGTTGATGAGAAAGAAGATGGTTTATTATTCTAATGGCCTTTTTCATACTTTTTTCCTCATAGAAAGGTATGTGAAAGTGATCTCAAAATTCTGTTTGCACTTTCTTTTCATATTTTAAAACTATGCCTTAATACTAATTATACAATTTTGATTTATATTAATATATGCAGTGCTTGATTATAGACATATATCAATCACAACTGCTTCTGCAACCTTAGATGTTACAAACATAACCTACTGCCTGGATTCTTGAAGTATGATCCCAAATTTTTTTCCCTTAATCCCAAAATATTACACCATGGTAATTAATATCTAGACCTAGGAAGGGTCTGATTCAGCATCATAACTAAAACAATGTGGCCTTTGGCACCAAAAAGATCTGAATTTGAATTCAATTTTGCCCCTTTTATTATGTTGCTTGTAGCAAGCTACTTAAACTCTATATGACTCAATATGTAGTATTACTCATCTAGGGAATTTATCAATACTTATGTAAATACATGTTTGTATATATATATATCTGATTTCTTGGCCAGTTGTCCATATTTGTTAATGATTGGGCATGTTTTCTGTAATTATAGGACATTAGATGACCAAAATTCCAACTTAAAAGCTGGGCAATTTGATCTCCAAAATTTGACCTACTTTGGTAGATTTGCGGATAGAAATTATTAGGTAAATAGTTGGTTCTCCCTCTCTCTCTCTTTTAATCAGAGTCTCATTCTGTCACCCAGGCTGGAGTGCAGTGGTGCCATCTGAGCTCACTGAAACCTCCGCCTCCCATGTTCAAGTTATTCTCCTGTCTCAGCCTCCCAAGTAGCTGGGATTATAGGCACTCACCACCACGCCTGGCTAATTTTAGTATCTTTAGTAGAGGTGGGGTTTCACCGTGTTGGTCAGGCTGGTCTTGAACTTCTGACCTCAAGTGATCTGCCCACCTCAGTGTCCCAAAGTGCTGGGAATACAGGTGTGAGCCTCCATACCCCTCCAGTATTTGGTTCTTTATAAAATGTGCTATTATTATTATTAATCTCTTTCTCACTACATCCAAGACTATCAGCCATGATTCTGTAATTGTTTTACTTAAGAAGTAACTTAAGTATATCATCTATTGGACACCAGAATACCAAACTTTCTCAAGAATATTTCTTGGGGGTTACATATAATTGGAATCTGGGTTATAAAGTAATCTGTAAATACAGAAAAATATGCCCATTATTCCCCATATTGGTGACCTTGTCAATAAATTGGACTCCTGTATATATTATTTAACTCTGATAAAACCCCTAGATGAGTAAAGTATAGTCTCACATCATCTTCTGCATAGGCAGATGTGATTTTGTGAAATATTTATTTGGTCTTCATCCCCATCTCCTGGTATACAACTCTTAATTTCCTTGGAATTTCCAAAGTAATCAGTGTCCTTTTGTATGTTAATGAATTGACTGGTGGCTGGCAGTCCCTGGGTAGCTTCAGAATGAGGTATGGTCACAGGAAAGACCAAGGCTATGACTAAAGGGTTGGAACTTTCAACTCCACCTCACAACCTCCATGGAGGGAGACGGGCTGAAGGTTAAGTTGATGACCAATGGCCAATACTTAATCAATTTTGCCTATATAATGAAGCTTGCATAAAAACAGAAATGAACTGGGCTGTTTGTTTTGTTTTTGCTCTGTTGCTCTGTTGTCCAGGCAATCATGGCCTACTGCAACCTCAACCTCAACCTCAACCTGCTGGGCTCAAGTGATCCTCCTGCCTCAGCCTCCTAAGTAGCTGGGACTACAAGTACACACCACCACATCTGGCCAATTTTGTATTTATTTTTTTGTGGAGATGGGGGTCTCACTTTCTTGCCCAGGCTTGTCCCAAACTCCTAGGCTCGAACAATCCTTCTGCTTCAGCCTCCTAAAGTGCTGCATTACAGATGTGAACCACTGTGCCTGGCCTTGAATTGGACTTAGCTTCCAGATAGCTGAACACGTGGAGGCTCCTGGAGGGTGGCATGCCCAAGAATGCATGGAAGATTTGCTCCCCTTCTCCCATACCTTGCCTTATGCATCTCTGCATCTGTGTCCTTGTAATATCCTTTATAATGACCCAGTAAACACAAGTGAGTGTTTCCCTGAGTGCTGTGAGCTACTCTAACAAAGTAATCAAACCCAAGGATGAGGTCACGGGAACCTCAATTTGTGGTCAAAAGCAAAGGTAAAACAACCTGGGGCTTGTGATTGGTACTGGAATGGAGGGCAGTCTTATGGAACTGAGCCCTCAATCTGGACATAACACTAACTCAATGTTGACAGTGCCAGAATTGAACTGAATTAGAGTACACCCAATTGATGTCTGTTGCAGAATTGAGTGGTTGCTGGTGGGGAGAAATCCCCACACACTTCTTGGTGACCAGAGGTCACAGAAGTCTTCTGTATTGATTGCTGTGGTGTGATAACAGAGAAAAAACTTCTTCTTTTTTTTTTTTCTTTTCAGCATACTCTCTTAAATTGTATAATACGTAGCTTAAAGTTGTTGTCAGAAACAAAGACAGGTAAAGCCTTGTTATAAATAAAGTTTCGGTGCTGCAAAAGAAATAGTACTTGAATATAAAATTTTCTTTTTAGTTCTCAGAAAGGCAAGTTACTTCTATAGAAAGGTGTGCCCTTACAGATGGAGCAATGGTGAGCCACACTAGGACAAGGGAGGGGAAGGGGTTCTTATCCCTGTAGCAACGTGGCCCCTGCTGCTGTGTCATTCCCCTATTGGCTAGGGTTAGACTGCACAGGCTAAACTAATTCCAATTGGCTAATTTAAAGAGAATGACAGGGTGTTTTGGCGGGAAAAATTGTTATGACAGAACAGGTAATCGGAATGAGTCAGGGATGAGTAGGTAATCGGAATGAGTCAGGATGGAGCAGGTAATCGAAAAAGGTTGCTTTACAAGGAAATTAAGTTTAAAAGTAGAAGGCAAAGAATTGAACATGCTGACATACTGATTCTTTGAAAAGAAATTCAGAACTTATATCTAACAGCCTGAAAACAAATCAGTTTTCACACCACTATCTGTAATTACAGTCAATAATTATAAACTAATCACTCAGATTTAAATTTAAATCAAAAATGACAAAAATGTTAAGAAATAGGTCATTCTCTGAGTTGAGTTTAAAATTTTTAACCAGATCATCTGATCAATGTAAATATTATTGCCTTAAATGACTTTAGAATAGGTAAGGCACAAACATGCCAAAAACATTCTTAGAGGGCCTGCTAGTTGACTTAGGCCTCAGGGTTCTTCCTCAGGAAGAGGGGCTTGATGTTCTATGCTCAGGCCTGAGATTACAAGGGTGTGGAAAGGGTAAAATGGGAGTAAGGGGAGATAGTATTTTCCTGACAGCTGGGCAATAACAAAGAAAAAAAAAGAAGAAGTAGAAATGAAAGAAAGAGATGATTTCTAGTGCAATGAAAGAGGAAAAAGAAGAGAGAAAGGAAGAATGTTAAAAAAAAAACGAGGTTGAGTGTGGTGGCTCATGCCTGTAATTTCAGTACTTTATGAGATTGAGGCAAGAGGATCACTCAAGCCCAAGAGTTTGAGACCAGCCCGTACAACATAATGAGACCTGATTAAAAAACCAAACAACAACAACAAAAAAACCCCAAAAAACAACTTTACAAATTGGGCAGGCATGGTGGTGTCTGTAGTTCCAGCTACTTGGGAAGTTGTCTTGAGCCTGGGCCGGGGTGACAGAAGGAGACCCTGTCTCAAATAAATAAATAAATAGGATAAAAAGGAAAAAATGAGAAAAGACATTAAAAAAAATTCTATATTCACAGATAGCCATACCATATGTTGGGGCTCAGAAACAAATACCCTAAAATGAAGACTACAGCAGCAGCCTCAGAAACAATAGTTTTTCTCTGAAGTTCTCCAGGCCTCCTGTCTCTCAGTCCCATTTTCCTCTGAGATTGGGACTCCTCTGAGATTCTAGTGGAGTCCCAATCTCTCTTCCCCAAAGAAACAAGAACGCCTTTTCCCGAATGCCAGCCATAAAACCTAAAATTATTCCGTGTAAAAACTGGCCATAATGAAATTATCTGTCCTACCTTGTTTGACTGTAGGTCATAAGACCTCCATTTCAGAAAGGGTCCTACCTCATACTCAGAAGAAAGGAACGCTACATAGAGAAACCAAGAAAAATCTAGACGGACAGTCCTTGATGGGTGATACCGTTTGGACGTTTGTTCCCCAGGTCTCATGTTGAAATATAATCCCCAATGTTGGAGATGAGGCCTGGTGAGAGGTGTTTGGGTCTTGGGGGCAGATCCGTCATGAATAGCTTGGTGCTATCCTATGATACTTGTGAGATCTGGTTGTTTAAAAGTGTGTGGTCCCTCCCCCCTCCTCTTGCTCTTGATCTCACCATATGATGTGTCTGCTCCCCTTTCACCTTCTGCCATGAGTAAAACTCCCCCAGGCCTCACAAGAAGCTGAGCAGATGCCGGTGCCATGATTGTGCAGCCTGCAGAACCACAAATCAATTAAACCTCCTTTATTGATAAATTACCCAGTCTCAGTTATTTCTTTACAGTGATGCAAGAACAGACTAACACACTGGGTTTTCCCACTTAGTCTGTAAGCATTAGATCATGCCTTTTTTGTCCAATCATATTTCTTCATGGCCGTCAATACTTTGTTAAACCTAAGCATGAAAATGGAAATTTCCCCTGTAGCTTGCCACCAGCAACATAATAAAAGGTGCGAACTTGAATTCAAATTCAGATCTTTTTAGTGTCAAAGGCCACATTCTTTTAGAATGTTGGGTCTTCATTCTGAGGGCTCCAGTGTATACATGTTCAACAAATTTGTATGCCTTTTATCCTATTAATTAATCTGTTCCATGTCAGTGATTATTTTTTTAGCAGGCTTTTAGAGAGCCAAGGGCCTTGGCATCCACACACATATATGGTATCTTTAGGTTCATGAATATTCGCCACACATACATACACACATTCATCCTAAAATCACCCCAGAGTCTTTCAAATAAATGGGTGGGAGTATGTCTGGATCTTCACGTTCGTTTTTGAATTTTACCATATTTTTTTTGCCACATTCTTCTTTAGTGTGAATATTAACTTAAATTAATTTATATATAAATATGCCCCATAATCTATATAGCTTCAACATTCAGTAGAATCTGTCAGATAAAAAATAAATCCAACATAGTAAGGAGAGGCTTTAACTCCAAAGGATTATTGGCAGGGAGGAAAAGGGACTATTGCAACAGAGTAGGAGAGACTCTTGAAATATGGAAAATGCTAAGACCATAGGTCTATTACTGTCTTAAGGGTTTGGAGAGGTATAAACAAAGCCAGAAAGAACTGGCTTTGGAGAAGCGGCATAAGAGTGGCATGATTGGAGAGAAGATCAGAGAATATTTCACTATGGGGCAGTATATTCTCAGCAGAGGTTCTATGCTGGTTAGGCTGAGGGTGAGCCAAAGTTCAGCAGCCTAGGGGGAGGAAAGAAGCTTAACCAATTTGGTTAACATGCATTTTTGTTCAATTGATAAGTAAAAACAAGTAGTTCAGCTAAGCATTTATGCAGTAAAGCATAGAAATTTGGAGGGTCTGTGCTTGGCCTTGTCATAGGTAAACAAGGGGGTATCTGTGAGTCTTGTCTAAGTCATGTAGGGAAGGGTGCTTTCTTGCAGTAAGCCATTTTCTGGAACACAAAAGGGTGTGTGTATGGTGGCAGAGGGAATCCCTTTAACCTTCACCATTTTCTAAGAGCACAAGGCTCAGGTAAATTAAACAGTGTCAAATCTCCGCTATTTAGTATTTGGCGTGTTAATTGAAAAACTTGTTTAAAATGAGAAAAAGGATTTAGTGAACAAAGATCCACACATATGCATTTATTCAAAAACCTTGTATTATAAGACATCTTGGTGTGTTTTACCACAGGATAGACAGCTTGGCTTAATTCCAGGAGTTTAGTAAAATGCATGTCAGTAAAAAAAACAAAAAACTTTTGTGTGCAGGTTAAAAAAATGATAAGACCATTTTGCTTGATTTTGCTCACTTCAGACACATGAATTTTCAATATCATTGTGTATAAACATATGATGATATCTGAAAGGAATATATTACCTTGGATTTTTGAAGATGTCTAATGGGCTTGAACAGAGTGACTGAACCTGCACATCATAATGCGAAATTTTACAATTCACTATGTGCATGAATGGTCAATACACTAAAAGGAATGCATTTTGTGATCTGATATAAATTCTCATTTCTTTTTTTTTCTTTCTTTCTTTTTTTTTTTTGGTGGTGGGGGGACTGTGGGCAGAATCTTGCTATATCACCCAGGCTGGAGTGCAATGGCGCAATCTCAGGCCACTGCAACCTCCGCCTCCTGGGTTCAAGCGATTCTGCTGCCTCAGCCTCCTGAGTAGCTGGGATTACAGGCCTGGCTAATTTTTGTATTTTTAGTAGAGACAGGGTTTCACCATGTTGGGCAGGCTGGTCTCAAACTCCTGACTTCGTGATCCACCCACCTAGGCCTCCCAAAGTGTTGGGATTATGGGCATAAGCTGCTGTGTTCGGCCTAAGTTCTCATTCCTAGCTCACTAAAAAACTAGTGATTTTAAACAAACAAACAAACAAACAAAGTGTTTCTAGGAGACTAGTTTTGGATTGAACTAGATTCTTTGTAGGTCAAATCCTAGAGATCCTCCTATGTCTCCCATTTGTTTCTTCTTACACTATTTTGCTTTAGGATATTTTGCCCTGAGATTTTAAATTTAGCCTTCATTAATTAAATAAATAATTCACTTATTCAAAGAATAGTGGAGAGGTGTGCATCAATGAATGTGTGTTTTGTTTTTCTCTGTTATAAGCTAAATCCTGACTGTTTGCTGGTGAAGTCAACAAACAGACAACCAGGATGTACTGGAGCATCATAACAGCTCACTGCTTATGTGCTCTGGTGCCTACATACTTTTCCTCCCTCCTTGGCAGCATTTTATCTGTAAAAGAAGTATGTTTTATATGTTTTTATCATGGACATGCAGAACTCACTTTGAACTGAAAAATCACTTTCTGCTTGAAATCAAGGATAAAATGAATTTCCTTAACACATAACACATTAAACATCCACAATTATTAAACCACCAGTTTATGGAGCAATACTTTTTAGTCATTTTATGCCCCATTTTGTGTATATTCCACTGGAATTTTGGAAGAAAGATGGCTAGGAATTTGTCCCCAGCTCACTCCTTCAAGAAGAGTAAAAGACTCTTCCAAAGTAAAATAGAGCTAATTCCATAATGCAAGTCCAGGAAATAGAATTCTCCCAGAGTGATAGTTCACTACTCTTTATTCCTCTGCCCCAAATGGCAACTCTCTTTCTTGCTCTTCCTCTCTCATTTTTTCTTTTAATGAACAATTCGGTTACATAGCCATTGAGTTGGGTAGAACTAGGTAGGTGTCCACACCTGGTGATGAGGGGATGTGATGTTTGAGATCACGACATGTTGGAGCCTGAGCAGTGTGAGGAGTGTGTGCATGTAAAAGGGCTGCTCCCTGGGGAGAATAAGAGCCAAGAGGCGTGAGAAGGGTGACCACAGGGAAGAGTGGTCTGGTGTGCATTGTCATAGCCTTGTGCAGGGTGAAGTGGCATACACACAGGGGAAACCCTGGTTATGGAGCCTGATTGTGGGTGGTGTGGAAGCCATCTGCATGGAGAATGGGGCAACAGTAGCGATAAGAGATTGGCTACATACAGGAGCTTGATCAATTAAGTAATTATAGTAAGGATGATAGGAATCTGATTTGTTGCTGTTGGAGAAAGGAGCTCCAAATACAGAAAATGAGAAAACCAGAATGAATCTTTGAGTGTTGGGTTAGAATTAGACATCTTGTGCAAAATTATAGGTTTTGTTTTTTGGTTTTTTTTTTTTTTTTTTTGAGACAAAGTCTTGCTCTGTCATCTGGCCAGTTGTACAGTGGCATGAACATGGCTCACTGCAACCTCAAACTCTCAGAATCCAGAGATCCTCCCACTTCAGCCTCCTGAGCAGCTGGGACCACAGGCACACCCCACCATGCTTGGCTAATTCATTTATTTTTGTAGAGATGGGGTCTTGTCATGTTGCCCAGGCTGAGCTCAAGCAATCCTCCTGTCTTGGCCTCCCAAAGTATTAGGATTACAGGTGTGAGCCACCATACAGGGCAACAAACCTATGATTTTGGATAGAATCAGTTCTTTTATAACATGACATGCTGATTACTTAAAATTGTTGTGCCATGCAGAATTATACAATAAAACCCACAGGGCTTATGATAAAATAATATTGGAGCACAAAACTCAAATACTTCATTATTGACACACACACAAAAGATTGAAACTTAAAAATGATAGTACAGTTTACACATGTGAAGTGGGTAAGAAGTACATAAATATTATACTAAATATGTCATTTTACCTTGAAAAGGACCTGAAGTTTGATTGTGGAAGTGGGGAACAGAAGAATTGCAACTTATGCAATGGTGGAAGAGGTTTACTTTAAATCAGACAGAAAGCTGTGACATTAGATGAGATGGGTATAGCTCATAGCACATGAGATGAACTGAGGTAATGTAGAGATTTGTGCATGTGTGTATGTGCATATTTTGTGTCCAGGCTTGGTTCAGCTGGATGCAGTTTTCTGTTTTCATCTTGTGTTTCTTGTAAACAAAATAATGCATAAGCAAACACAAAATATATGCTATGCTTAATTTGTTCCTTAATATGTCAATTGTACTGAAACAGATTCACATTTTCCAAACAAGCATTATAGCAGAACTCATTGAATATTAAAATATATAGATAGATATAGAAATAATTGTAGATGCACATATATGCCTTCAGAGACATTTATATTCCCTATCTCTCCAACTGAGAGGGCTGGAGAAAGGCAGCATCCCAATAGCAATGAGCACACATAGCTTGCAGATCTCAGACTATAAATACAACTAAAAGAAATCAGAGGCCAGGTGCGGTGGCTCATGGCTGTAATCCCAGCACTTTGGGAGGCTGAGGCAGGTGGATCATCTGAGGTCAGGAGTTCGAGACCAGCCTGACTAACATGGTGAAATCCTGTCTCTACTAAATACAAAAAATTAGCCAGGCTTGGTGGCGGGTGCCTGTAATCGCAAGTACTCGGCAGGCTGAGACAGGAGAATCGCTTGAACCCGGGAGGTAGAGGTTGCAGTGAGCCGAGATTGCACCATTGCATTCCAGCCTGGGCAACAAGAGCAAAATTTTGTCTCAAAAACAAACAAACAACAAACAAACAAACAAACAAAACAAAAACAAAGAAATTAGGAATTGAGAAAACAGCTAGAACAGGAAAAGGATAAGATGAGCACATCTCAGAAAGACATAGGAACCAGCATGAATAGACTTGCACTGGCAAATCTGGGACAATTTCACCGTCACAACAAATGTTTTTATAATGTATTGTAAATAATTTAATAAAATAAAAAAATCATGAATCTATAGGGATATAAGTTAATAAATGAATGCATTGAAAGATTAAGGAGGAATGGGACATTGACATAGGGATGTGGAAGATTTCATATTGCTTTCACACAAAATAAAATGAATTATAAAGATAAAAACAAGAAACTTTAAAGCAGAGAAACACGCTCTCCATCAATGATTGAAGTGAATAATCATTAATAATGGAACAAGTTCAAAAAGAATTCCACCTGGTAGGATGCAATTCAGTATATAGGCTCACTTTTGTGATATTGCTCTTAAAGTTGTATAACCTAAATCTAATCATGGGGAAACATCAGCAAAACCCAGAGTGGGGACCTTCTATGAAATAACTGCCTACATTCTTCAAAAGTGTCAAGGTCATGAAAGTCAGAGAAACACCAAGGAACTGTTCCAGACTGAAGGACTAAAGAGGCAAGAAACTAGGTATAAAGTGGAATCCTGAACTAGATCATTTTGCTATAATGGAAATCATGAAAACATTTGGCAAAACTTGAATGGGATATCAGGATCCGATGGTTGTTATAGACTGAATTGTGTGTCCCTCCCCATCCTCAAAATAACTCTGCAGAGTAGGTATTATCTCTTTTTATAACTGAATAAAGAGGCTCAGAGAGAAAGTATTTTGTCTAAAGATACTTAAATAGTAAAAGATTAAGAAGGGATTAAATTCAAGGCCAAAAGAAGGGAGAATGACTTTGTTCAAAAGAAGATCTGATATAATTTATATATATATATAAATTATATCATTAAATATATATATATATATATATATTTTTTTTTTTTGAGATGGAGTCTTGCTCTGTTGCCCAGGGTGGAGTGCAATGGCATGATCTCGGCTCACTGCAATCTCTGCCTCCTGGATTCATGTGATTCTCCTGCTTCAGCCTCCTGAGTAGCTGGGATTACAGGTGCATGCCACCACGCCTGGCTAATTTTTGTATTTTTAGTAGAGGAGGGGTATTACCATGATGGCCAGGCTGATCTCGAACTGCTGACCTCAGGTGATCTGCCCGCCTCGGCCTCCCAAAGTGCTGGGATTACAGGTGTGAGCCACTGAGCCCAGCTTGATGGAATTATACTTTCTATCAAATTAATTCTTGGAAGTGTCTGTCTGGTTAACAAAGCTAGGGTGCACTATAACTGCTCTCATTTATGTTAGATGAAGCTGGAATACATACTATTCTGAGAGATTTTCAATGGACACACATCAAAATAAGGCCAATATAAAAGCCAAAATTATTAGTTAGAAAAGACTAGATTTTATACTCCTAAAATAGAAGGGAACTTAGGTCTGGAGTTGGACAGGGATAGAGGTAGGTGGCCCAGGAAGTAAAGTGAAAAGTGGAGAGATCTGATAGTTCATGGGTTTGCTAACTCCTCCCATTTGCTAATCTCCCCAACTGACCTACTCCACGTTAGCACTCACACTCACACACAAATAACTTCTACCTTCAAAAAGAGAAGAAGAAATTGATTGAGCAGACTTTCAATCTTTCATTTCATGAGCAGGGTGGTCTCCAGGGAAAAGAGTATCGGTTTTATTTTCAGTAGAATTCGTTCTTAATCCAGTCTCTGCTTAGCTGTATGCTTTCTTTATGTCATTTTGAATTTTTTTCTGGCAAGTTTTCCTTGAGTGGCTGAATTTGATTTAGGTTCTTGTCTCCTCCTATGTATACTACTCTGTGTTTGCTACCATAATAGAACCTGTCAGTATAGACACTTTAGTATGTCACTGATCCACCAGCTATATTCTAGGGTATCTATATCTATATCTATATATATGTATATATATATCTCATTTATTCAATAATAATTCATTGAGCACTGGCTAAGTTTGACTCTATAAATACAAAGTCATATAAGATAAAGCTCTTGATATATATCCTAGATATATATATCTAGGATATATATATATATATCTTGGAGATATATATATCTAGGAGATATATATATATATCTTGGAGATATATATATCTAGGAGATATATATATATATCTTGGAGATATATATATCTAGGAGATATATATATATATCTTGGAGATATATATATCTAGGAGATATATATATATCTAGGATATATATATATCTAGGACATATATCTAGGATATATCTAGGATATATATATATATCTAGGATATATCTATATCTAGGATATATATATATATCTAGGATATATCTATATCTAGGATATATCTATATCTAGGATATATATATATATATCTAGGATATATCTATATCTAGGATATATATATATCTAGGATATATATATATATCTAGGATATATCAAGAGCTTTATCTTATATGACTTTGTATTTATAAAGTCAAACTTAGCCAGTGCTCAATGAATCATTATTGAATAAATGAGTAACCAGATAAATTTAAAAAAGGATACCTTTGCTTCTTTGAGGCTGATTGCCTTGGTTTGTTCAAGTCATTCAATTACTTATCAATTCATCCACTAAACAAGCTTCCCTAAAACATGTGCTCTATTGAAGATGTGAGGGTTACAAAGAAATAAATGAATTGTGTCTGCTCTTAAAAGAGCAGACTTTAAATGAAACATGTAACGTTATCGAGTTGTAAAATACATGGAGTGACATCTTTATAGCTTATTTAAGTGGGGAGATGGGCGCTTCAATGTGTCCCTCTTAACCTTGTCCACAATTAAAGTATAGGACCTCTCCTGAGCTGAGCATTAACCAGGACTGAAGGATGTGAAACCTTTAGATTCTGGGAAGACACCAATGACAACACCTACAGAGAACTTCCCTCCTGTATGTTGGAGGAAAGTCTGGAGGCAGTTGTAGAGTCATGAGCTAAGGATGTGGGTACAGCTGGTTTGCAGAGATTTGTGAATTCCCAGTGGATCGTGATGTAGCTTCTCAGTTGAGTGTTCCTGAAATGACAGTGGGTCTTTCTGGTCCCCCATAGGTGGCAGGAGGGCTTAGCAGATACATTGAGCTACTTTTAGCCCTGATTCTAAGATAATGCAACGCTTTAGCAGGTGAAAAAACAAATGAACAAAGAGATTTCCTTTGGGTGCCAATCCAAGGAAGTTCTATTTTGGCATCTGGCAAAACTTTAATCCATTCAGCCAGAGATTACTGTCCCTTCCTTCATTTTTAAGATTTTTGTCACCCAAGGTATCTCAGCAGCTGGAATTTAACCCTCAGTGAATAAACAAAAAGAAAAAGGACAATCCACCTAATGCTTCCAGCACTCAAAGTGAAGAGAGTCAAGAAAACACACAAAGTAAGTGGCTTCTAACAAAATGCAGCTACTAGAAAAGTCCGCCCACAACTTTCCTCAGCAGAGTTCTCTTGTCTTGTGCAAGAAATGGGTTACGGACTATGGAAAAAAGGGTTGGGGAAGCCTGAAGATTTCAGCTTTCACCAAACTGTCTGAAATTGCAGTTAGTGATTATGAGTCAATCTTTCAGATTTAGATAACAACAAAGAATAACAAAGACTTCCTGGAATTGATCATGTAAGTACAACTCGAGATTTCTAATCAAATCAACCAATTATCATAAATACAGTATTAGTTAACATCCTAGATGTTTGTGTGTGTGTGTGTGTGTGAAGAGATAAAGTATGATGTTATTTAAGTTTTGCAGACAGATTTTGAACTTGAACAAAAATAGCACCCATCTCCAATAAACAAAATTATAAAAGTAAGGAAATTCAGGCATAGCACATGTACGTGTATGCACGTGTGAACACACACACACAGATTTGCTGGACCTACAAAAATGGACCATGATTTACAACAATGAAACAAACAAAAATAAATTGAAGAAATAGATGAATGGAACCAATGAAATAAAGATCGGGAAGATCTTGGATAAGAGACCGAGCAGACTTTCCATATGAATAACAAGAGTGCCAGAAAAAGAAAAAATTAACAGTTGAAGAAGACAAAGTTACTAAATAGTAGAAAAAAATGTAACTGAACAGAAGACTCAAGTATTACAATTAAAATGCTTCACTAAATTCCAGGCAAGATAGATAAAAAACATATTATTCTACTGTGAAAAGAAGACCACTATCTCAGAATTTGAAAAATAAGGCTTTATTACTTACAAGAACTGCCTTGCAGGAAGGCAGGAGAGAGTGTTTACAAGCCAGGGAGTGATGATGATCATGAGCCAGTTCCCTGGCACATCAAAATGATAGACTTACTTATATTCCTGAGTATACCCAAGACCCTCCAAGATTTGCTTTATGATCAGCAGGGAGGGGAGGGGGTCTCATTACCCTGGTAATGAAAATGATTCTTTTTAAGGATCAGAAGGGAGAGAAGAGTGGACTTTATAAATGAGCACACTCCAGAACACCTATTTGAAAGAAGTTCTGACGTGTGTTTAAAAGAAGTCAACTAGGGGGCAGTTCCAAGATGGCCGAATAGGAACAGCTCCAGTCTACAGCTCCCAGCACGAGCAATGCAGAAGACGGGTGATTTCTGCATTTCCAACTGAGGTACCGGGTTCATCTCACTGGGGCTTGTTCGACAGTGGGTGCAGGACACTGGGTGCAGTGCACCAAGTGTGAGCTGAAGCAGGGTGAGACATCGCCTCACCCGGGAAGTGCAAAGCGTCAGGGATTTCTGTTTCCTAGCCAAGCAAAGCTGTGTCAGACGGCACCTGGAAAATCAGGTCACTCCCACCCTAATACTGTGCTTTTCCAATGGTCTTAGCAAATGGCACACCAGGAGATTATATTGTGCACCTGGCTCAGAGGGTCCCATGCCCATGGAGCCTCGCTCATTGCTAGCACAGCAGTAGGAGATTGAACTGCAAGGAGGTAGGGAGGCTGGGGGAGGGGCACCCACCATTGCTGAGGCTTGAGTAGGTAAACAAAGTGGCCAGGAAGCTCGAACTGGGAGGAGCCCACTGCAGCTCAAGGAGGCCTGCCTCCCTCTGTAGACTCCACCTCTGGGGGCAGGTCATAGCTGAACAAAAGGCAGCAGAAACCTCTGCAGACTTAAATGTCCCTGCCTGATAGTTTTGAAAAGAGTAGTGGTTCTCCCAGAATGGAGTTTGAGATCTGATAAGGGACAGACTGCCTCCTGAAGTGGGTCCCTGACCCCCAAGTAGCCTAACGGGGAGGCACTCCCCAGTAGGGGCAGACTGACACCCACACGGCCGGGTACCCCTCTGGGACAAAACTTCCAGAGGAATGATCAGGCAGCAACATTTGCTGTTCAGCAGTATTCACTGTTCTGCAGCCTCTGCTGCTGATACCCAGGAAAACAGGGTCTGGAGTGGATCTTCAGCAAACTCCAACAGACCTGCAGCTGAAAGTCCTGACTGTTAGAAGGAAAACTAACAAACAGAAAGGACATCCACACCAAAACCCCATCTGTATGTCACCATCATCAAAGACCAAAGGTAGATAAAACCACAAAGATGGGGAAAAAACAGAACAGAAAAACAGAAAATTCTATAAATCAGAGTGCCTCTCCTCCTCCAAAGGAACGCAGTTCCTCACCAGCAACAGAACAAAGCTGGATGGAGAATAACTTTGACGAGTTGAGAGAAGGCTTCAGATGATCAAACTTCTCTGAGCTAAAGGAGGAAGTTTGAACCCATCGCAAAGAAACTAAAAACCTTGAAAAAAGATTAGACGAATGGCTAACTATAATAACCAACACAGAGAAGTCCTTAAAGGACCTGATGGAGCTGAAAACCATGGCACGAGAACTATGTGACGAATGCACAGGCTTCAGTAGCCGATTCGATCACCTGGAAGAAAGGGTATCAGTGATTGAAGATCAAATGAATGAAATGAAGTGAGAAGAGAAGTTTAGAGAAAAAAGAGTAAAAAGAAATGAACAAAGCCTCCAAGAAATATGGGACTTTGTGAAAAGACCAAATGTACGTCTGATTGGTGTACCTGAAAGTGACGAGGAGAATGGAACCAAGTTGGAAAACACTCTGCAGGATATTATCCAGGAGAACTTCCCCAACCTAGCAAGGCAGGCCAACATTCAAATTCGGGAAATACAGAGAACTCCACAAAGATACTCCTCGAAAAGAGCAACTCCAAGACACATACTTGTCAGATTCACCAAAGTTGAAATGAAGGAAAAAACGTTAAGGGCAGCCAGAGAGAAAGGCTGGGTTACCCACAAAGGGAAGACCATCAGACTAACAGCAGATCTCTTGGCAGAAACTGCCAGAAGAGAGTGCGGGCCAATATTCAACATTCTTAAAGAAAAGAATTTTCAACCCAGAATTTCATATCCAGCCAAACTAAGCCTCATAAGTGAAAGAGAAATAAAATCCTTTACAGACAAACAAACGCTGGGAGATTTTGTCACCACCAGGCCTGCCCTAAAAGAGCTCCTGAAGGAAGCACTAAACATGGAAAAGAACAACTGGTACAAGCCACTGCAAAACCATACCAAATTGTAAAGACCATCGATGCTAGGAAGAAACTGCAGCAACTAATGAGAAAATAACCAGCTAACATCATAATGACAGGATCAAATTCACACATAACAATATTAACCTTAAATGTAAGTGGGTTAAATGCTCCAATTAAAAGACACAGACTGGCAAATTGGATAAAGAGTCAATACCCATCAGTGTGCTGTATTCAGGAAACCCAACTCATGTGCAGAGACACAGATAGGCTCAAAATAAAGGGATGAAGAAAGATCTACAAAGCAAATGGAAAACAAAAAAAGGCAGGGGTTGCAATCCTAGTCTCTGATAAAACAGACTTCAACCCAACAAAGATCAAGAGAGACAAAGAAGGCCATTACATAATGGTAAAGAGATTAATTCAACAAGAAGACCTAACTATCCTACATATATATGCACCCAATACAGGAGCACCCAGATTGTAGAGACCTACAAAGAGACTTAGACTCCCACACATTAATAATGGGAGACTTTAACACCCCACTGTCAACATTAGACAGATCAACGAGACAGAAAGTTAACAAGGATATCCAGGAATTGAACTCAGCTCCACACCAAGTGGACCTAATAGACATCTACAGAACTCTCCACCCCAAATCAACAGAATATACATTCTTCTCAGCACCACACCACACCTATTCCAAAATTGACAACATAGTTGGAAGTAAAGCACTCCTCAGCAAATGTAAAAGAACAGAAATCAAAACAAACTGTCTCTCAGACCACAGTGCAATCAAACTAGAACTCAGGATTAAGAAACTCACTCAAAATTGCACAAATACATGGAAACTGAACAACCTGCTCCTGCATGACTACTGGGTACATAAGAAAATGAAGGCAGAAATAAAGATGTTCTTTGAAACCAATGAGAACAAAGACACAACATACCAGAATCTCTGGGACACATTTAAAGCAGTATGTAGAGGGAAATTTATAGCACTAAATGCCCACAAGAGAAAGCAGGAAAGATCTAAAATTGACACCCTAACATCACAATTAAAAGAACCAGAGAAGCAAGAGCAAACACATTCAAAAGTTAGCAGAAGGCAAGAAATAACTAAGATCAGAGCAGAACTGAAGGAGATGAGACACGAAAAATCCTTCAAAAAATCAATGAATCCAGGAGCTTGTTTTTCGACAAGATCAACAAAATTGATAGACCGCTAGCAAGACTAATAAAGAAGAAAAGAGAGAAGAATCAAATAGATGCAACAAAAAATGATAAAGGGGATATCACCACCAATCCCACAGAAATACAAACTACCATCAGGGAATACTATAAACACCTCTACACAAATAAAATAGGAAATCTAGAAGAAATGGATAAATTCCTGGACACATACACCATCCCCAGACTACACCAGGAAGAAGTTGAATCTCTGAATAGACCAATAACAGGCTCTGAAATTGAGGCAATAATTAATAGCTTACCAACCAAAAAAAGTCCAGGACCAGATGGATTCACAGCCGAATTCTACCAGAGGTACAAGGAGGAACTGGTACCATTCCTCCTGAAACTATTCCAATCAATAGAAAAAGAGGGAATCCTCCCTAACTCATTTTATGAGGCTAGCATCAACCTGATACCAAAGCCTGGCAGAGACACAACAAAAAAAGAGAATTTTAGACCAATATCCCTGATGAACATCGATGCAAAAATCCTCAATAAAATACTGGCAAATCCAGTCCAGCAGCATATCAAAAAGCTTATCCACCATGATTAAGTGGGCTTCATCCCTGGGATGCAAGGCTGGTTCAACATATGCAAATCAATGAATGTAATCCAGCATATAAACAGAACCAACGACAAAAACCACATGATTATCTCACTAGATGCAGAAAAGGCCTTTGACAAAATTCAACAGCCCTTCATGCTAAAAACTTTCAATAAATTAGGTATTGATGGGACATATCTCAAAATAATAGGAGCTATTTATGACATACCCACAGCCAATATCATACTGAATGGACAAAAACTGGAAGCATTCCCTCTGAAAAGTGGCACAAGACAGGGATGCCCTCTCTCACCACTCCTATTCAAAATAGTGTTGGAAGTTCTGGCCAGGTCAATCAGGCAGGAGAAAGAAATAAAGGGTATTCAATTAGGAAAAGAGGAAGTCAAATTGTCCCTGTTTGCAGATGACATGATTGTATATCTAGAAAACCCCATTGTCTCAGCCCAAAATCTCCTTAAGCTGATAAGCAACTTCAGCAAAGTCTCAGGATACAAAATCAATGTGCAAAAATCAAAAGCATTCTTATACACCAATAACAGACAAACAGAGAGCCAAATCATGAGTGAACTCCCATTCACAATTGCTACAGAGAGAATAAAATACCTAGGAATCCAACTTACAAGGGATGTGAAGGACCTCTTCAAGGAGAACTACAAACCACTGCTCAACGAAATAAAAGAGGATACAAACAAATGGAAGAACATTCCATGCTCATGGGTAGGAATAATCAATATCGTGAAAATCCCATGCTGCCCAAGGTAATTTTTAGATTCAATGCCATCCCCATCAAGCTACCAATGACTTTCTTCACAGAACTCGAAAAAAACACTTTGAAGTTCATATGGAACCAAAAAAGAGCCCCCATTGCCAAGTCAATCCTAAGCGAAAAGAACAAAGCTGGAGGCATCACACTACCTGACTTCAAACTATACTACAAGGCTATAGTAACCAAAACAGCATGGTACTTGTACCAAAACAGAGATATAGACCAACGGAACAGAACAGAGCCCTCAGAAATAATACCACACATCTACAACCATCTGATCTTTGACAAACCTGACAAAAGCAAGAAATGGGGAAAGGATTCCCTATTTAATAAATGGTGCTGGGAAAACTGGCTAGCCATATGTAGAAAGCTGAAACTGGATCCCTTCCTTACACCTTACACAAAAATTAATTCAAGATGGATTAAAGACTTAAATGTTAGACCTAAAACCTTAAAAACCCCAGAAGAATACCTAGGCAATACCATTCAGGACATAGGCATGGGCAAGGACTTCATGTCTAAAACACCAAAAGCAATGGCAACAAAAGACAAAATTGACAAATGGGATCTAATTAAACTAAAGAGCTCCTGCACAGCAAAAGAAACTACCATCAGAATGAACAGGCAACCTACAGAATGGGAGAAAATTTTTGCAATCTACTCATCTGACAAAGGGCTAATATCCAGAATCTACAAAGAACTTAAACAAATTTACAAGAAAAAAACAAATAACCCCATCAACAAGTGGGCAAAGGATATGAACAGACACTTCTCAAAAGAAGACATTTATGCAGCCAACAGACCCATGAAAAAATGCTCATCATCACTGGTCATCAGAGAAATGCAAATCAAAACCACAATGAGATGCCATCTCACACCAGTTAGAATGGTGATCATTAAAAAGTCAGGAAAGAACAGGTGCTAGAGAGGATGTGGAGAAATAGGAACACTTTTACACTGTTGGTGGGACTGTAAACTAGTTCAACCATTGTGGAAGACAGTGTGGCGATTCCTCAGGGATCTAGAACTAGAAATACCATTTGACCCAGCCATCCTATTACTGGGTATATGCCAAAGGATTGTAAATCATGCTGCTATAAAGACACATGCACATGTATGTTTATTGCACCACTATTCACAATAGCAAAGACTTGGAACCAACCCAAATGTCCATCAATGATAGACTGGATTAAGAAAATGTGGCATATATACACCATGGAATACTATGCAGCCATAAAAAAGGATGAGTTCATGTCCTTTGTAGGGACATGGATGAAGCTGGAAACCATCATTCTCAGCAAACTATCGCAAGGACAAAACACCAAACATCGCATGTTCTCACTCATAGGTGGGAATTGAACAATGAGAACACTTGGACACAGGAAGGGGAACATCACACACTGGGGCCTGTTGTGTGGTGGGGGGAGGGGGGAGGGACAGCATTAGGAGATATACCTAATGTAAATGATGAGTTAATGGGTGCAGCACACCAACAAGTCACATGTGTACATATGTAACAAACCTGCACGTTGTGCACATGTACCCTAGAACTTAAAGTATAATAAAAATTATATATATAAAATAAAATAAAAGAAAAGAAGTCAACTATGTCAAGTAATATACATGAATAAAATATAAATTATATAATTTTTTTCAAGGAATAAAATATTAAATAATCCACTCTTAGTTATAATTTTTAAGTTCATTCTGAAGCTGGTGTTCTGTTAATTATGGTAGGGCTGATTTCCTTGTTGATACCTAGATACATCTTGGGAACATTTCAGGACTCCAAGGCTAGAAGAAAAATCTTTAAAAGCTTCCAGATAGAAAAAATAAGTTATTTGATTTTCTTAAAAATGATTTTTTGACGATGTCAGTTATCTTTTCTAAAATTTAACTTTTTACAACATTCTATAATGAGACATTAACTTGATTTTTTAAAAATAGCAAATACATGATAAATATTTAAATTGAGTGTGGACTAAATATGAAGTGTGTGTGTGTGCACCTGTGTGCTTGTTACTGACATGAATTCCAACTACCAAAGAAAGGAGAGTCAAAGACTGATGTTTTATTTTATAACAATATTTAATTATTGGACATTTTATGCAAAATAGACTTTGATCAGATAGCATTTGAGCTCGTTGCAAATAGTCAACATGCAAAAGGAATTAAGAATAATATTCATGCAAGGATACAACATTACTAACTAGACTATTTTTAAAATAAAAAGCACTACCTAAAATCATCATATTACTACTTTACACACATGCATTTCTTTAATTATTTTTTTACATAGATTTCTCACATCTATTCTTGCTTCATGGGTTTCAGTTTTATAATTTTTGGGATTGAAGACATAGTGTCTACATTAAGAAACTGACATGTTTACTCTGTATTTACTCACTGCCAAAAGCTTTTTGGGAATCCTGGAGAAGATCTATTTGATTATCTGTTTTATGAGTAACATCCCCTCAATTAATCATTGAAGAGCAAGAGACAGCATCAGACATAAGGACATTTTTACACTGGCCATTTGGGACTTAGGATCTATTCACTCTGGTCCATACTCTCTTTGGTTACTCCCTTTTTGTTTATTTGGACTTGATTCTGGATAATGGGAAAGGAAGCTGGAGAGCAGGAATGGTGTTTAGACTTCAGGTTCCAGCTGGCTGTGGTCACCATGTCCATGGAACTGATTGTCAAGTTATCTCGTCTTAGGGACCTTTAAAAAAACAAGTTTGAGGGCACTTAATAGTTTATTTCACTGTTCTTGTCAGAAATTAGTATTGAAACAAAAATATTTTTGGTAATTATTATTCAAGCTTGGAAAGAACTGGGAATAAAAATTGTTTGAGTTGAAGAAAAATAAAAGAATAAAACATTTATCTCACCCACCCTGACTACATTCCCGCTTTTCCAAACTCATTCTCTCTGAAATTTTGCTGAAAACACCCAAACATCTATCCCTCTCAAGCTTTGCGGGAAATAATTTGGGAAAAAGTATCAATAGAGTAAAGAGAAACTGGAGGATAGAAAGAGGCTGATGTTTCGTTATTCATAGGACCTCTTGATGTGTACTCACTCAAATTCTTCAACCTTATATATTTCACTTGCTTTTGACTACTTTTATGTATAGCATAGTTTAAAATTATGTTAAATTTCTTTTGTTTTTTGTTTTTAACCAAATAAACCTGTGGACTATATATGGTATAAAATCTCACACTATTTCTGAGAATTCATATTATTTTTACGAATAGCTTTTTATGGCTCTCAGAGGAGTGAAACAACATTTACTAACTAAATTCTTTTCTTTCTGTCTTTCTGTCTTTCTGTCTGTCTTTCTTTCTCTTTCCTTCTGCTTTAGAAAATACCATAACTTCTGATTTTATCTGGCTGGGCACATCATCTCAATTTCTTTCTATAAATAGGTAGTTCATTCAGTTTCTTTTCATTTATTTATTTTTCTTTTACACTTGACATCCCATTGAAAGAAAAATTTTAAATTTATTATTTATAATTTTTGTAGAGAGTTGCCCAGGCTGGACCCAAACTCCTGGCATCAAACAATCCTCCAGCCTCAGCCGCCCAACGTGCTGAGATTACATGTGTGAGCTACCTACCATGCCAGGCTAACTCAATTTCATCACACCTATGCACACAGATATCTAGGCTTGAAGTGTGTAAAGCTTTCACTAATGGAGTCATCGTTCACATTCTTGTTTAGAATACTGTACAGTACCTTCCAATAAACAGAATCATCATAGCAGTTCTGGTCAGATGGCTGTCCCCAGAGAGGCAACTTTAGAATTAAACCTGTGACGGTAGAGGGAAAATGAGTCATGTTGTGACGCTGAAGAGGAAAATCTACTTGCATAGTAGCTTATATACTATTATAAAATCATCCCCTTTAAATGACATAATTACTTTACTGCCAGAAGTTTAGAACATTTTTGAATTTAGCAATTGACTTGCTCATTAATTATCTATTGTAAATAATCTGAGAGCATAAGATACAGGGAAGTGTTCACTTTTTATGCTGACCTGTCATCAGACCTCCAACAACTGCTGTTCCGATAGAGGAACCCAGTGCAGCTGCCTGCATGGCCATAGACCTAAGGAAGCAAACAAAAAAGAATCAGTGTCTTTCCTGGATCTCAGCCAAAGAAAGTCTCACTCACTGAGGGTGTGGATGACTGCCATCTTCAGGCCAGAGTGTAACATTACACAGCAGCAAATTAAGCATTTGTTACAATTTTTCTTTCATATTCTTATTTTCTTTGAAACTCTTGAGCAGTGTTAGAAAATTCTGAGATACACCTTAAAGAAGAGAATCATCTTTTCATGTAAACTTTGGAAATAAGACTTTCCTTAGGGAGGGTTTAGCACTCTCAAAAAATTGATACCTGATCTGATTCATTTAATAAATATTGAGTATCCACTCTCTGTCAGTTTCTTTTCTAGGAACAGAGGATAGAGTAATACATAAAACAACATGAGCTACTAAAGCTAATTTCAGCATATATTGTAGAGATAGCTCATTGAAGATATTCAAGTATATCTCTATATGTCATCTTAGAAGTCATTGCCTTAAACTGAAATTAGTAAAAAATACTTTGTAATTTTGAGAATGAAAGAATGTGATAAAAGGCCATTGAAGTGCATAAAGGTGTTATATGAATGACAAATGACCTGGGAATGTGGGGATCTTCTTAGCACAGCAGCTTACTCATAGCAGACAATAAAGAGTTGTTGAAAGACTGAATGAGTGACTCCAATGAATAAAACAATTGGAAAATAAGAGTTTTTTTGGTCTTCCAGTCTCATCATCCAAGGGAAAGGATGCACTAAACTCAGATTCCTTTTTTTTTCTCCTTATCTGAAGGGTTTACATATTTTAATATATAAAAAAACTGCACAAGTAACATATCATTGTGAAAACATTAGAAACTGCAGATAACAAAAAGAAGCAGAAAAGTTTAATATCCCTCAGATTGTATCAGAATAAAAATGTAAAATAAAAACATGTATTTTTATTAAAATGCAATCTTACTATATTACTTATTTTCACATTAAATATGTTTTAGGGATCCGTTTATGTGAGTCAGTGTAGATCTGGACCATAGTTTGAATTGTGCAAAGTATTGGTTGCTTCCAGTGTTTCATATTTTTAAAAATGCTGTGAGAACATCTCCTCTGAACATGCTTATGAACTTGTCTGATTATTTTCCTAATATAAAACCTATCTAGAAATGAGAATATTAGTAAAAGGCTACATATACCTCTTTTTTTTGAGACGGAGTCTCGCTCTGTTGCCAGGCTAGAGTGAAGTGAGGTGATCTCAGCTCACTGCTGTCTCCTCCCCGCGTTCAAGCAATTCTCCTGACTCAGCCTCGCAAGTAGCTGGGATTATAGGCACCCACCACCATGCCGGGTACTTTTTGTGTTTTTAGTAGAGATGGGGTTTCACCATATTGGCCAGGCTGGTCTCAAACTCCTGACCTCAGATGATCCACCTGCCTCGGCCTCCCAAAGTGCTAGGATTACAGGCTTGAGCCACCGTGTCCGGTCTATATACTTCTTAAGAACTTTTCCAAATAGAAAATTGTACAATTTATATTCCAATTTTTTACTTTAGCCATTATTCAGTATTATTATTATTATTAATTCATTCATGCTTTATCGCTTTGATAAGTGAAAAACTGGTAGCTTGTTTTAATTTGCATTTCTTTGATTATGAGTGAAGTTGAGTATTTTATATATACTTATTTGATTTTCTTCTTTTGTAAATTTCCTGTTAATTTTATAGGAATTTGCCAAGATCTTTTACAAGGTCTTAAAAGATATTTTTGATAACAAGTGTTCTGTGATCAAATAAACTTGGAAAACACTGATTTATACAAAATTAACAGCATTACTAGAGTTATGCTGCTATAATTTGCAAAAACATCCCTTAAGAATATTAACTTTCCCTTGTTCTATGCTTACCAAAAACCTAATTTGCATTTTAATATTCTGAATAGACACATGTAAGTAGTTTGGTTCTCAGGCAGTATTTTATTTGGTGTGAGATATGTAAATTTTACCGAAGTGAATGCACCTTCAAGGCTTGCCCCCCTTCCCCTCTTCTGATATTCCTCTGCCTCCTACCCCCACCAACGAATAAATTGAGATGTTTCTAAACCTGCATTCCCAAGGACCAGACCCTCAACCATGAGACTTAACCAATGTCTGACCTCCCAGTGAGGCCTCCCTTTTGAGAGCCAGATAGACGTGTTTTATTGCATCTGTGAAACTGTTCTAGGCATGATGCTCAAGAATTCTTAATCATAGGCACCTCTTAGGGTGTTTGCACAGTGTATGCACACTCCAACACTGAGGAGTTGAGCTCATTCACACAGGCTTTTATCATGCTTAATTTGCATTAAAATATTTTAGTGTTTGATCTCTACAGTCTCAGGAACTGAAAAAGATGTGCATATTCTGGAGCTGTCTTCTAAATTTGCAAAAAGGGTTAAAAAATACAGAAGAAATGTGTCAACTGTACACATGAAGAAGGAAGCAAACTACTTAGTAGGAAATATGATTAAATGCGTTTTTCAAGTATTTATTATTATTGATCTCAACAGGGTTAAATTTTAATCTGCTAAAACTGAAGATAAGATTTTTCTTTTTAAATTATGCACCTCTAGTTAGTGATCATTCAGACATTTCTAGACACACATTTCCCTCTTCTTCATGCTTTCAATTGGATTTAAAAATTGAGCATTCTGCTATGCAGCCATAAAAAAAAATGAGTTAATGTCCTTTGCAGGGACATGGATGAAGCTGGAAACCATCATTCTCAGCACACTAACACGGGAACAGAAAACCAAACACCGCATGTTCTCACTTATAAGTGGGAGTTGAACAGTGAGAACACATGGACACAGGGAGGAGAACATCACACAGCCGGACCTGATGGGGGGTGGGGTACAAGGGGAGGGAGAGCATTAGGACAAATACCTAATGCACACGGGGCTTAAAACCTAGATGACTGGCTGATGGGTGCAGCAAACCACCAAGATACATGTATACCTATGTAATAAACCTGCACATTCTGCACATGTATCCAGAACTTAAAGTACACACAATTTAAAAAAATTGAGCATTCTGATTTTTCTTAATTTACTCTGTGTGATCTGGACTCTATGATCTTCTCAGCTTTTTCACATGGATGACATTCATACCAAATTGTTCCAATATTGTGGCATCCCTTCCATTCTCTGGGGTTTGCTTGATAGTTGTTTTTCCTCTGGTCATTTAAGTAAACATTTATACCCAACTTAGGGAAGAATCTACATCTGATAGAGCTAGAAGGGATTTTGGAGAATAAATACTCCAATCTTCTTATTTTACAGAGGAGAAGACTGAAAACCAGAAATGCTGAGTGATACCTCAGAGGTCACATAACTAGTTAGTAGCAGAGTTGGGGCCATATACCAGTGTTGTTGATTCTGCAGAACCAACTGCTTTCTGTATTATTCCAACTCATCCTTCTTTGTGTGGATTGGATGGAACTGACTGTTCAGCTCATCATATGTGCCTCCTCCTCCATTTTGGAGAGATCAAGAAAAAGACTAATCCTTCTATAATCTGACTGTGATTATCAAATTTCCCTGTCTGCTAGGAGACAGTTGTTTCTGGTAAAGACATTTAAAATAACACTGTTAATTTTTTTAAATTAACAATTTCAGTTAAAATGCCTCTTCCAATATAATTTTATTCTAATGATCTTCTCTCAGGCGCGTCTCTTTGGCTCCAGTAAAGACAATACAAACCATGGCCAGAACAGCTAAAATGAAAACTCTCCCATTTCTCAGAGTGAGAGAAAACATCATGGGACCACAGGGGCTGAAAAACCCATTCTTTTACTCACGTGTTGGAGGCGCCCATTGCTACTGCCACAATGCCTGCAAGGCCTCCCACTACACCAGGTAAGCCGTGGAGGTTATGGACCCCACATGTATCATGGATCCTCAGTTTAGTAGTAAAAAGTGGCTAAAATTATAAAAGGAAGAAGGTTTATTATTTAGTTAAACATATAGAACTCTAGAACTGAAACAGAGCTATAGCTGGGCTCTATTCTTCCATGGAGAAAAAGTATTTTATAAATAATTTTTATGTATATTTAAGGTATACAACATGATGTTATGAGATACATATAGAGAGAAAAAGGTCATATAGTGAAGAATATTAACGTCTCCAACATCTTACATAGTTACTTTTATTGTTGTTTTTTTGTGTTAAGAGTAGCTAAAAATCTCCTCATTTAGAATAAATTCTATGTACAGATATATAGTACAATTTTACTACCTATAATCCTCATGCTGTGCATTAGCGCTCTAGGCATATTCCTCCTGTATTCCTGCTACTTTGCATTCTCTGAACTACATCTCCCCATTTCCTTCTCCACCCAGAAGAAATTTTACGTAGAGCACAGTTCTCCATCCATATCTGAAGTCCACTTAAAGTTAAAGGATTTGAATATATAGTTGTGGCAAAACTGCCCATTTCAGTCTTTAGTGGATGGGTTTGAAAGGAATCATTTCACATTCTACTCCTTCTCACCTACTGATGACATCCTAAATCTCTCTTTTTTTTTTTTTTCTTTTGAGACAGAGTCTCACTCCATTGCCCAGGCTGGAGGGTAATGGTGCCATCTCGGCTCACTGCAACCTCCACCTCCCGGGTTCAAGTGATTCTCCTGCCTTAGCCTCCCCAGTAGCTAGGATTACAGGTACCCGCCACCATGCCCGGCTAATTTTTGTATTTTTTTTTTTAGTAGAGACGGGGGTTTCACCATGTTGTCCAGGCTGGTCTTGAACTCCTGACCTCAGGTGATCTGCCTGCCTCAGCCTCCCAAAGTGCTGGGATTATAGCTGTGAGCCACCATGCTTGGCCGACATCCTAAATCTCTTAAAAGAGCAGAGTCCTTAATTACATAAGACAAATAACAACAACAACTTCAATGGAGCAGTCCCAAAGGAAAGTAATGGCCATGTACTTAACATTTAATTCAAACTAAATTATAAATAATTGATACTGGATTCTTTCCTGTTACACAGAAGTCAGGGCAGAGTAGAACCACTGAACCACTGAAATGGGAGTGGTATTTCCAAAAAGAAGGCAAATGGTCTCCAAATAAAAATGTTTATAAAATAAAACTTAGTAGCTTTTTTTCTGCTGGTGGGACATGTGAGAAAAAAGGTGCAGATTCAGAGTTTGACTCAGAACATCTGCTGTACTTACAGTCAGGAACTTGTATCCAAGCACAGAGACCATTCCTGCAATGCTCCCAATAATCATAGAACCAAATGGGTGAATTGCCATATCCGCACAAGTGCCCACAGCAACTCCTCCAGCAAGGGTGGCATTCTGAATGTGAACCTGTGTGAGCGGCAGAAACATAAATGAGGTGAGCTGGATGATGGAGAATTCAGAAGGATCAGAGGATTCTAGAGTTCAAGAGACCCACATCACATTCTTCAGTTGAAAGGGCTATTGGTTCTTTTTTAAAAAGAGGTTTGTTTGGATTTATAGAAGGCCTTTCTTTCAAGAAGTTGACATTTGGTATCTTTCTTGCCGGTCCCTTGGTAGTGAATGAGTAATCAGCTTAACTCTTTAAGGCCAGTGGTGGAAGACATTTGAGAAAATCAAAAGATGTTGTAGTGGGAGGGTAGGAGTGTTTAGAGCAAATATTCTCGCAATGTTTTTTCTATTTATGCAGTTTTCGGAACACATTTGTGGTTATCATGAACCAAAAGATGACTATGGCCACCGTGTGTTTTGTAGTCTATGATATTCTAATATTCAAAGAGGAAATGTAGAGACATTGAAATGTACACATTACATATGAAAGACAATAGTTTTTGCAAATGTCACTGGATTGAGGACATTTGAGGATGAAGGAAAGAGGAACTGATTTTTTTTTTTTTTTTTCGAGATGGAGTCTTGCTCTGTCTCCCAGGCTGGAGTGCAGCAGCGCGATCTTGGCTCACTGCAACCTCCACCTCCTGGGTTCAAGTGATTCTCCTGCCTCAGCCTCTCTAGTAGCTGGGATTACAGGTGCACGCCACCATGTCCAGCTAATTTTTGTATTTTTAGTAGAGATGGGGTTTCGCCATGTTGGCCAGGCTGTTCTGGAATGCCTGACCTCAGGTGATCCACCCACCTTGGCCTCCCAAAGCACTGGGATTACAGGCATGAACCACTGTGCCCGGACAGGAATCAATTTTTGTTTAGCAGAATTTCTCAGAAAAGTTGCAGTCTGGCTATTCTGTCTGAGAAGCAGAGGTCATCAGTACTTTTAAAAGAGAAACACTGAACTGTGCGATTTTTCCTTTTCATTGTTTTTAATGACCTCTCATGAGACAATTTGTGGAGAAATAAGATATATGTCCTCAGCAATGCTTAAAAAATAAATTACAATAGCATTTTCCTCCCCACTCCACCCCACCTGCCCCACCCAGCTAGAAGGGTAGACTGGCTGATCTGAGGGTTACTCCTTTACTGGTGTTTCTCTAGCTCATAGGCAAGAAACTCAAGAGACCAATTTGGGGGAATTTAAAAAATATTTTATTTTGAACTAATTGCAGACACATAAAAGTTGTAAAAATGCTACAGAATGTTTCCATATGTCCCTCATCCAGTTTCTCAAATAAGATGTTAATCTTACATAACCATGGAATCGAAATTAGCATTGATAAAATACTATTAAAGACATTTGAATTTCACCATTATTCCTACTGAAATTTTTTCTAGTATCCTATTGAAGATCCCACATTGCATTTAGTTGTTATTTCTTTGAGAGGAATGTTTGCAGTTGGGAGAATAGAATCAGTGTGCATCATCCCACTCTCTTTTTCTGCTGTTTGATAAATCTTGTTTCTAAGAAATCTTTTCTCAGAACTTGGGAGCAGTTAACTCTATTATTAAAGAAATATACCTCAAATCAAAGATTTTTACAAGACTACCTTCATTCTCTACTAGACTGTAAATCCCTTGAGAACATTTTTTAATCTTCCAGGACAAAAATTTTTTTTTTCTTTTTTTTTTTCTTTGTGAGATGGAGTTTCGCTCTTGTTGCCTAGTCTGGAGTGCAATGGCATAATCTCGGCTCACTGCAACCTCCACCTCCCAGGTTCAAGTGATTCTCCTGCCTCAGCCTCCCGAGTAGCTGGGATGACAGGTGTCTGCCTCCACGCCTGGCTAATTTTTTTTTTTTTTGTATTTTTAGTAGTCACAGGGTTTCTCCATGTTGGCCAGGCTTGTCTTGAACTCTTGACCTCAGGTAATCCCCCTGTCTAGGCCTCCCAAAGTGCTGGGATTACAGGCATTAGCCACTGCGCCCAGCCCAGGGTACAGATTTGATGAATAAGTGAATTAATGAATAAATGTTGTTGTTTTTAGAACATTCTACAAGGTCTGCTTCTGATTTGTCTTGAGAGTTCAGCAGTGATGCAGAAATTACCTACTACTTATCTGAGCAACTGTCAGTGTTGTGAAGCAAAATTTCCATGAGGGCTAAGGCGGCACTTACCATGTTGAGCTTGCCTCGGTGCTCCACTAGGCTGGAGAAGGCAAAGGCTGTGAGCACACAGGCAGCGAGAGAGAAGTACGTGTTTACAATGGCCCTGCACTGTTTGTCTCCAGGTTCAGCAATGGCCGAGTTAAAGCTGGGCCAAAACATCCACAGAAAGAGAGTCCCTGTAGTGAACCAAAAGAGGGGATATTAGTTCTGAATATGGAAGACAGTCCAGAGGATGCAGTTTGCTTTATTTATTTATTTACTTATTTATTTGTTTATTTATTTATTTTTGAGATGGAGTGTCCCTCTGTCACCCAGGCTGGAGTGCAGTGGCTTGATCTCTGCTAACTGCAACTTCCACCTCTCAGGTTCAAGCAATTCTTCTGCTTCAGCCTCCTGAGTAGCTGGGATTACAGGTGCGGGCTACCATGTCCACCTAACTTTTTTTTGTATTTTTAGTAGAGACGGGGTTTCAGCATGTTGGTCAGGCTGGTCTCGAACTCCTGACCTCGTGATCCACCCGCCTCGGCCTCCCAAAGTGCTGGGATTACAGGCGTGAGCCACCACGCCCAGCCTGGAGGATGTAGTTTCCTTTGGCCACTGACAATGTCTCTGTTTAGTCTTGATTATCTACAGTTAAGAGAAAAGAGGAGAATTGAGCCAGCATAAAGTAGTATGCAAAAGATGCTCATTTTTTCAAAGTTTAATTGAATTTATTATTATTATTATTATTTTTTAGAGATGGAGTCTCATTATGTTACCCAGGCTGGACTCAAACTCCTGGGCTCAAGTAATCCCACCTCAGCCTCCTGAGTAGCTGAGGATACAGTCGTTCACTACCATGCCTGGCTTGGATGTTCTTTTTGAGCATCTCACACCCTTGTTGAAGTTAACCTTCTCTGGTGCCTTTTCAAATAGATAAGATTCAAGCAAGTTTATCCACACTCACCAATCATTGCAAACAAGTCTGAGTAGTATGCGGACTCTTCATTTTCATGCCCCTTTCTCAGTCCAGATCGATACAAGATGCCTGCTACAGCCAAGCCAAAGTAGGCCCCAAAGGCATGGATCGTCATTGATGCTCCAATGTCAGAGGCCTGAGGGACAAAATAGCATTCACATAAATAGAGGTGAACCTGAGACTCATTTATGGGAGGAAAGTCAATGAAAGAATTGCATTGTTGGTTAAACAACTTAAAAAAATTAAAGAGGGACAGAAAGATTGTGTCAGAGAAAGGGGGGTAAAACAGGGAGTAAAACAGAAATAGTACAGAATTTGGAGCCATACAGAACTGACTTTCAATCCTAGGTCAGTTACTTCCTTGCAATGTGACTTTAGACAAATTATTAAACATCTCTGATCTAAGGATTCTGTAAAATGGGGAAATATTACCCACTCTCAACAGAGTTTGTGGTGAGACTTAGATAAGAACATATTTCTAAAGTGCTAGTTCCCTGGTGGGCACACAAGACATGCAAGGTTGCTTCTCTAGGTGATGGAGATTTTGAGTGAAATATGTATTGCTCAGCCTGGCCTGGTGGTGCACGCCTTGTAGTCCCAGCTACTGGGGAGGCTGAGGCAGGAGAATGACTTGAGCCTAGGAGTTTGAGGTTACAGTGAGCTATGATTGTCACATTGCATTCCAGCCTAGGTGACAAAGCAAGAACTAATCTCAAACCAAAAAAAAAAAAAAAAAAAAAGATACTGCTTGCGATACAAAATGAAGATGATATGTTCACTTGAAATTGCAGTTAAAGCTCACTTAATTGTAACTCAAGACTTGAAACTTCAAAAAACCAGAGTTTTTACCCATATTTTTTTAATTCTGCTCTATGATGACATGAAAACCAGCTGAGGTCCCAGATTCACTTCAAGAGATTTAGATTCCTCTTTAGGATATGATGTGGTTTTGACCCAGTTTTCTACATTTCTTTCCTCTAGAGGGAATACTCAAAGGGTCAAATTGTACTTATAGACAGTAAGATGACACACATCTATTTATGAAAGATTTTCAAATTTAAGTAAAAAGGGTCTCCTAGTTGTTGTTCCTTTGTTTACTAGACATAGACAGACCCAGTCCCCTTGAAGATCCACACTTGGTTGTAATGAGTCAAATATCTTCCCAGCATATATGATCTATCTAGCAACCTTTAGCCTCCCAGCAACACTTAGTCCCTTCCCAGCTGGGAAACCTTGCCTTGCTTCACCAGGTGGCTTCAGGAAGATGGGAGGTGGCTATTAATCATGCTTGGACTTTCCAAATACCATGTGAGTCTGTGCCTATCTTGAAACGCTCACATATTTGCAGGCAAAATAACCTTCTCTGTTTTTCCCTTTGGGACCATCAAATAAGTCTTCATTCAGCTAGCACACAGAGTTTACAGAGTCTTTATTAATCTGACCCACTTACTTTGGTGGTTTCATCTGGTATCGCTCAAGTCTTTTCACCTTACTCTAGAAGTTTTCTTTTAGTTCCTCATCACCAATTCAAGACTGGTTGTTGTTACCTTGGCTTAAAGAACTTTTCTCCCCATTAGTTACTGGAAAACTTCTAGGTATCTTTTAGGTCCAGCGTAACTGTCACTTACTCAGGGAACCCCTCCTTGATTCTACAATCTAATCTTCCAGTTACACTTTCTCATAGACCTACCCTACATATTTTTCATAGCATGTATTGCAATTTATAATAACATTTGTGTGTTTGTGTCTTTGGGTGGGTGGATGAATGTGTAATTCTTTATTTGGTTTCTGTCTCTCCCACTAGAGTGTAAGCTCTATAAAAACAGGAACTTTCATATTTTGTTTGTCATTGAGTCCCCAACATCTAGAAAGTTATCAAAAATATTTGCAGTTGAATTAATGTTAATAGAAATACAAACAAAGTAACAAAGTACTAGAATGCCCCTAAATGTTCTTTATTTATTTATTATTCCTGGGGGGAATCAATGAAATATTTGTGGAGAAAAAAGTTTGACTGAGGCCTTAACAAAAACCACTACAATGTTTTATATGGGGCTATTCACCTAGTAGTAAAAATATAAAAAAGGAATTCATCATTGATAGGCAAAAGAAGAGTTGAGGAATTAGAAAAATCTGGAGGTGAATTCAGACTCTCGCAAGCCATTCAGCATCTGTGATAATCAGTTTTTATGGTGTATACATGATAATAAAAATAATACGTACAATGCAGTGTTGTTGTGAAGATGAAATAAGATAATGTTTACAAAACTCCTAGTTTACAGTAGGCACTCAGTAAATGATGGTTATTGTTACTATTTGCTACGGTATCACTCTCACCAAGATTTGCTCCCATATACCGTAGACACCCATTGTTTTTTTGTAGCCAGAACTGATGCCCAAAGCTAGGAAAGTATAAATTTTCTAACTCTTACCTTAAATATTTCACTAACCAGGTATTCATTGTGGGCAAAGAAAACAATTTCTAAAATTGTCATGATCAGCATTTGGGTGGGGCTCGTTTTTCCCAGGACAGCTCCAAAAGATATCAGAACTGTGGCTGCACTGAAGTCTGCATTTATCATGCTGAAGGGAAACAAGAATAAATTGAAGAGTAATGCACACCCAACATAAAACTGACCAAAGTGCAATCCCATCTCCCACCAGGCACATCCAGTGCTTCCCAGGCTTACTCATCATCTCCCACTTCCTTATTCCTCCTCTTTTTGACCAGACACTCTTTAATTGCTCTAATGTATATATTTTAACTCACCTTTTATCTCATTTAGGGTTTTCCTTTATATTCTTTGATCTAATAAGTGAATTATTTCCTGGGGTGTGTGTTTACTATTGCACAACAAGAATACATGTTTACATTTTAGAAACAATCTGAAAAATAACTAATGGGAAATTTTTGCTCCCTGTAGCTGAGATGGAAGGAATAATACTTTTATGGAAGAGGGTTTCTCATATCCTCAAAGTCAAACCAGAGAGGTTACAGACATGAATGTATTATCCAGCTCAGTAGAGGAAGGCATTGATTCAGATTTTTGAATTTAAACAATTTTCTGTTGCATAAGGGAGGCAATTTGCCAGCCAGTACAGTAAATGACAGGGGACTACCAGAGAAACGATTGATTTGAAAATGAAATGGCTGATAAATAAAGAATTGTCTTAGTCTGCTTGGACTGCTATAACAAAATACCATAAACTGGGTTGTTTATAAATAACAGAAATCTATTTCTTATGGTTCTGGAGGCTGGGAAGCCCAAGATCAAGATGCTGACAGACTTGGTGTCTGATGAGGGCTCCCTTTCTGGTTGGTAGATGGTGCCTTCCAGCTGTGTTCTCACACAGTGGAAGGGGTCAGGAGTCTCCTGTGGACCTCTTTCACAAGGACACTGATCCCATTCATAAACACTCTGCCTTCATGACCTGGTCACCTCCCCAGTCCCCCACCTCTTAATATCATCATGTTGGAGGTTAAGAGTGTAATATATGAATTCTGGAGGATGCAAACATTCAGCCCACAGTAAGGATGCTCACTTTTTGATTCCAATGTTAAATTTCTGTCCCTGGCTTTGCAGGATTCCCTGTACAATAGTGCCCCACTGGAGGCCCAAAGCAGCAACGAGTAGGTTGATACCCACACTGCTGAAGCCATATTTCTTCAGGAAGGTCATGAGGAAGCCAAACCCAACAAATATCATAACATGTACATCTTGGAACACTGGAAAAGAGGAAAGGAAAAAATATCTGCATTATGAGAGCATGAAGAAAGTACTGCATCATAGTATACCCCACTTATTAAGTGCTACCACCTTTGTATAACACACTAGGAAAAGAGAGCATTTAACTGGGAAGCAAAAGTCTTGTTCCAATGCCAGCTTGACTACTTACTAACCAAGAGACTTTGGCAAGTTATTCAGTGTTGGAGCTTTTTATTGGGAAGACTATGCACTATTACAACAGTGTGTCTTTCATCCTGTCCCTGAGAAATTCTACATTGTTTTCCACCTGAGGACAGACTTACAAAGCACAGAGCAAGCATCACCCCTTCTTGAAGACTTTCCCAATACTCTCAGGAAACAGAATTATTTTCTGTTTTCATTTACATAGCTTTGTGTATATACTTTAGCTTTATCATTGTCATGCTATAATAGCATTTATTTAGCATTTGTCACACTGTAATAGTCAATAAGGTGTCCATCTCCTGCACTAGATTGTGAACTTCTTGATTGAAGGGGTTTGGAACCATTCATACCTGGCTCTCTTTAACTTGGCATAATAGCTTGCATATCAGAGAAGAAGTAGTACGTTTCTTTGATGGATGAGTCTCCATTTATCAAATATGTATAATAGCACCAGCCACGAAAATCTTACCAGATCATTATTTGGGTCAAATGGGATAATTTCTTTGTTAGCACTTTATGAACCATGAAGCATTAATAAACATAAAGGCTGTATCCTCTTGAGTAACAAATATTCAACTTGGTGTCTGGGGATATGGGCTCAGGTACCTGAGTTCAATCACATGACTGTGTGACCCTGGGCAAGTCACTTACTCTCTATGAGCTTCAGTGTTTTCATCTGCAACATTGTAAAGGCCCTATTTCACAGAATAATCCAAGTGGGATCACCTGTGTAGGAGGATTTGCATACGGTAAAGTATTATGCCAATAAAACATATGATCAAATGCAAGATAGTGAAAACATGAGCTCTTCCTTCAAGAAACTGACAGTTAAGTTGGTAAGACATATATATGGATAAACCATATATGAGATTGACATTTTTGCATTGGAAATAGTCCTTCGATCTGAAGGAAGGATCTGGGCAGTACACATAACAGCATCCACTACAGTGGACAAACCTGAATGGGGCACCATAGTTTCTCTCTCTCTCTTTTTTTGGGGGGGGAGACAGAGCGAGACTCTGTCTCCCAGGATGGAGTGCAGTGGCATGAACTCGGCTCACTGCAACCTCCGCCTCCCAAGTTCAAGCAATTCTCCTGCCTCAGCCTCCCAAGTAGCTGGGATTACGGGCGCATGCCACCATGCCCAGATAATCTTTGTATTTTTGTAGAGATGAGATTTCACCATGTTGGCCAGGCTGGTCTCAAACTCCTGACCTCAGGTGATCTGCCCACCTCGGCCTCCCAAATTGCTGGGATTACAGGTGTGACCCACCATGCCCGGCCCCATAGTCTCTTTTAAATTAAACATCACCATTGTGGCCAGAGGTTTAAGTGGAAATAGGTATGAGGGAGGATGTGCCTGGAAAATATGTCCCAGAAGAAACCAACATTAAAAGTCCATTAATTTGCCCAAAGGATGAAGTCAGGATTTGAACTCCAACCTGACTTTCCTGATTTCTCCATTCATTGAGCACTGTAGGGGTATAAAATAACCGAAGCAGAGCTCTGGCTTCCGAGGCACACAGAGACGTTACTGCTTCTTGGCTCCTCTCTACTTCTGTTCTGCCATCAGGCTCAGGGGCTAGTGTGTTGAGGGTAAGAGACTGTGGTACACTACTCAGGCTTGTCTACTGCAGTGGATGCTGAGATGCGCTGCCCAGATGCCCCCTTCAGATCAAAAGACTTATTCCTCTCATTTTCCCTGGCGGTCAGGAGTGCCGCCAGATGAAACCCTAAGCTCTCAATTCTCTCTGGAAAATGCTCTTCTTTTGCTCAAGATCATAGCTCTTCCTTCGGGTAGTCTGGACACAATAACTGATTCACATGAGCAACCGCTTGTCTCAGAAAAGGACCACCTAAAACTGGATAATCCTAGCTTCAGAGCCTCCTGAAGGGTCAGCTGAGGCCTTCTCCTTCTCTGCCCAAATTCTTTCCCTCAGGTGTTGATCCTTAAGGTGTTGATTCCCATCCCATACCTACCCAGGGTACCCTAGAACTGAGATTTTACCTGACTCGCTGATGGGCATTTGTCAATTAATATCAACCTGTTTCCCTTTTTGCTTTTTGAAGTAGAGATAATCACATATATTCATTTTTCTTTACACATTGATTTGTCACCCACCATTTAATTTTTGTATGTAAAAATTTGATCTAGATCATAGAATAAATTGGACAGGAACTTAGGGGATATGCATGATTCTTAGTATGGTTTTAGTAAACCTTTATGGGACTCAGTTATCTTTTAAGGAATACTTGGATTACATGATGTCTAAAGTGTCTTAGCTCTACAATTTATTTTATTTTGCATTTAGGTCAGGACACTGAGACACAGAGAAGTTAGGTTACTTGTTTATAGTCACAAACTAGAATAAAAATAAGGACTCAGTTTTTTTCATTTTGTTCATTTTTTTTAATTACACAAAGTTTTTCCTAACATTCTTTTTTTTTTTTTCTTAGAGCACTCTGGTTCTGCCTGTAATTTATTGGTTTTAAACTGTGCAGTTACCAAATGATATGGTTTGGCTCTGCGTCTCCACCCAAATCTCATCTTGTAGCTCCCATAATTCCCATGTGTTGTGGGAGGGACCTGGTAGGAGATGACTGAATAATGGAGGCAGGTCCTTCCCGTGCTGTTCTCTGACAGTGAGTGGGTGTCACAAGATCTGATGGTTTTTTTTTTTTTTTTTTAGACAGAGTCTCATTCTTGTCCCTCAGGCTGGAGTGCAGTGGTGCGATCTTGGCTCACTGCAAGCTCCACCTCCCGGGCTCAAGTGATTCTCCTGTCTCAGCCTCCCAAGTAGCTGGGGTTACAGGTATGGGCCACCATGCCGGACTTGGTACTTTTAGTGGGGACAGGGTTTCACCATGTTGGTCAGGCTGGTCTCGAACTCCTGACCTTGTGATCCACCCTCCTTGGCTTCCTAAAGTGCTGGATTACAGGCGTAAGCCACCGCGCCTGGCAATCTGATGGTTTTAAAAACAGGAGTTTCTCTGCACAAGCTCTCTCTTTGCCTCCTGACACACCATGACACCCAAGAGGTGACTTGCTCCTCCTTGCCTTCCACCATGACTGTGAGGCCTCCCCAGCCATGTGGAACTGTAAGTCAAATAAACTTCTTTCGTTCGTAAATTGCCAGTCTCGGGTATGTTTTTACCAGCAGTGTGAAAACGAACTAATACACCAACTAATTCAAGAAATTGTTTTATCTAATTTCATAATTTCTGTTAGTGGAACAATTATTCTGCAGATTTCACCCCCCTTCCCCTTTGATGGAAAACCAGACTTTTTTTTTTTTTGTTTTGTTTTGAGACGGAGTCTCGCTCTGTCGCCCAGGCCGGACTGCAGTGGCGCTATCTCGGCTCACTGCAAGCTCCGCCTCCCGGGTTCACGCCATTCTCCTGCCTCAGCCTCCCGAGTAGCTGGGACTACAGGCGTCCGCCACTACGCCTGGCTAATTTTTTTTGTATTTTTAGTAGAGACGGGGTTTTCACCGTGTTAGCCAGGATGGTCTCGATCTCCTGACCTCGTGATCCGCCCGCCTCGGCCTCCCAAAGTGCTGGGACTACAGGCGTGAGCCACCGCGCCCGGCCATTGAGACATTTTATATTGGGGTAAAGAAATTTCATATATTAACTGTGCTTCACTGTTTTTCCCTCTTCTGATGTAATTCTTGTTACTGCTTTTCGCCACAAGGGGGCTTAAGAACCTCATTTATTATTTAAATTAATGAGAGCTTAAAAGTTGTGGAGGCTCTTGACAGATAATGATTCCGTGTGAAATATACGAATAAAAAGGTTTATAAACAACTAGGATTATTGCATTATCATTTATCCTGCTTTAAGAGTTTGTGGGTGGGGACCAGGGAGAGGGCCACAACTATAGTTGTGTGGTGCAAGGCTCTGCCACTAAAGGAATACAGTGTCCATTTTATAGAAGAAAAGGAATTTCTTTAGGGGTTCGCACTTTGGAGAAATCTTCCAACAGGTTTTAAGGATTGTCAAGTCTTGTCTAAATCAGTGATTCTCAACAAGAGGTAATATTAACCCCCAGACTACATTTGACAATGTCTGGAGACATTTGTGGTTGTTGCAACTTGAGGAAGTAGAGTGGTGCCGCTGATGTCCTGAGGGTACAGACTAGGGATGCTGCCAAACTTGCTGTGGTGAATAGGACAGCTTCCCACAAGGAAGTATTGGGCTCAAAGTGTTAAGGGTGCTGCTGTGGAGAAACCCTCATCTAAATCAACTATGCTTTTAAGGATTCATAGTAAGCGGTGTAAAACTTTAATTTTCTTTAAACATTTTAGACCAAAACAGAAAATGCTGGCTTGATTTACTTAAAAATTTCTGCCCAGCAGCACAGCAAATTTTGCACTCTGTTTTGGGCCAAGATAGCAGCGGGGAGGGAACCAGGTGCCTACATTTTCCTTGCTCCCTTCTCCCATTCCTTGCTGCCCCCTGAGATCATAGCAACTCAGTGTTTTTATTTCAAGCATTTTCCTGAAAGTTGTTAACAGAAAATAAAAGAGAATAGTGAAAAGTATAAAAGCGAAGAAATCTCAAGGCATTAGAATCCTACACTGTTCTTAGCGTTCCCATCCTCCTGGCTGTGATAAGTTGTGTCTTTCACATTTATTTATTACTTATTATTTTTATTAATTAATTAATTTATTTTGAGATGGAGTCTCACTCTGTCTTGCCTAGGCTGGAGTGCAGTGGCGCAATCTCGGCTCACTGCAGCCTCTGCCTCCTGGGTTCAAGTGATTCTCCTGTCTCAGCCTCCCGAGTAGCTGGGACTACAGGCGTGTGCCACCACACCTGGTTAATTTTGTATTTTCAGTACAGACAGGGTTTCACCATGTTGGCCAGGTTGGTCTCGAACTCCTGACCTCAGGTGATCCACCAGCCTCGGCCTCCCAAAGTGCTGGGATTACAGGCATGAGCCACTGTGCCTGGCATCTTTCACATTTAGAGAGGCATCACACTGATCAAAGACACTGTATTAGCTCTATGCTAGCTAGTAGTTTATATTCCATTCTAATTGTTTACTAGCTGTGTGTCTTTGGATAACCAGTGATTTCCTCATCTGTAAAATGGGACTAATACTTCATAAGGCTCCATGAGGGCATGTGTTTTATTTACCTCCTCATGTCTCCAGTATCTGGTACAGAGTGCATGTGAAATATATCCAGAATAAACATGTAAACTGTGGTGTACATCTAACATCTAACACACTTTTATGTTTTGATATTCGTGTATATTAAGGACTATCACATGTAGGATCAATCTTCAGGGAGACCACAATATTTAGCCGTTTTCAAATAGCCAAACCTGTTTCTTTGCTATTAGTTGATGACATGCATAAAACCCCCCATATTATCAGCTGTGTAAAAATCAATTTTATCTCTATGTGTAAATATGTGTTTGTCTGTATATATCTTTATATATTTTAAGCTCACAGTGCCTTATCTTGGAAAACATCAGCAATTGCTTTGAATTCTACAATTTTTGTTTAGAATACAGGGATATAAGATCACTCACCTGATGTTTTCACTGAGTGAACTCATTTTCCCACAAAGAATACATTCTCACCCTTTAAAAGTTGACTGATGTTAGTGAAGACCAAGAAATATTTTGGCAAATCTGTTGGAGACAATCAATCCATGTAGACAAATGTGGCCTAAATTCCTACCTGATAAACAATGCTGCCTATAGAATGTAGTGGTTAAAACACAGGTTTTGGAGGCAGACAATCTGGGTTGGAATCTGACTAAGCTCTTTCATTTACCAAACATTTGACCTTGGGCAAATTGCTTAATCTTTTTAAACCTCAACTTTACCATAGGTATTTCTTCTTAACATGTGTATTCCAAGGGTAGTTTTGAGGATTAGAAAATAAATACACGATAAGTTCACACAGTGCCTATGACAAATTAAGCATCATTATAATCAGTGGTTTTATTATAATTTAAAATTTGTTCTACTTTTCTGCTAAAAATAAATTTGGATTTGAGGTTGGTAACCAGAACCTGACAGGATACAATTTCACCATCATCATCACCATCACCACCACCATCAGCAGCAGCAGCATCCTCAACGTCATCTCATTCATTAGTAGAGTTTAATTTATGTTGTTAATTTTGTTCTATTCTACCTTTATATCTTGCAATAGGATATCTTGCAAGCCCTAATGTGTTACTCTGTTCTCCCAGTTCTAATAAAGACATACCCAGGACTGGGTAGTCTGTAGAGGAAAAAGGTTTAATTGACTCACAGTTCCACAAGGCTGGGGAGGCCTCACAATCATGGTGAAAGGCAAAGGAGGAGCAAAGTCATGTCTTACATGGCGGCAGGCAAGAGAGCTTGTGTAGGACAACTCCCCTTTATAAAACCATCAGCTCTCAAGAGACGTATTCACTATCATGGGAACAGCGCAGGAAAGAGTGGCCCCCGTGTTTCAATTACCTCCCACTGGTTCCCTCCCACAACACATGGGAATTATGAGAACTACAATTCAAGATGAGATTTGAGTGGGAACACAGACAAACCATCTCATTTCGCTCCAGCCCCTCCAAAATCTCATGTTCTTGCATTTCAAAACCAATCATGCCTTCCCAACCGTCCCCCAAAGTCTTAACTCATTACAGAATTAACTCAAAAGTCCACAGTTTCATCTGAGACAAGGCAAGTCCCTTCCACCTGTGAGTCTGTAAAATGAAATACAAATTAGTTACTTCCTAGACACAGTGGGGTTATAGGCATTGGGTAAATACTCCCATTCCAAATGGGAGAAATTGGCAAAAACAAAGTGGCTACAGGCCCCATGCAAGCCTGAAATCCAATGGGCAGTCCTTAAATCTTAAATTTCCAAAATGAACTCCTTTGCTTCCATGTCTCACATCCAGGTCACACTGATGCAAGAGGTGGGCTCCCATGGCCTTGGGCAGCTCTGCCTCTGTGGCTTTTCAGGGTACAGCCCCCTTTCCAGGCTACTTTCACAGCTAGAGTTGAGTGTCTGTGGCTTTTCCAGGGGCACGGTGCAAGCTGTCAGTGGATCTACCATTCTGGGGTCTGGAGGATGGTGGCCCTCTTCTCAGCTCCACTACACAGTGCTTTAGTAGTGACTCTGTGTTTGGGCTTGCACCCCACATTTCCCTTCTGCACTGCCCTAGCAGAGGTTCTCCATGACAGCTCTTCCCCTGCAGCAAGTTTCTATCTGGATATCCAGGCACTTCCATACATCCTGTGAAATGTAGGCAGAAGTTCCCAAACTTCAATTCTTGACTTCTGTGCTCCCACAGTCCCAATACCACATGTAAACTGCCAGGACTTGGGGCTTGCACCCGCTGAAGAAACAGCCGGAGCTGTACATTGACCCCTTTTAGCCATGACTGGAGCTGAAGCAGCTGGGATACAGAGCACCATGTCGTGAGGTTGCATAGAGCAGGGAAGCCCTGGGCCTGGCCCATGAAGCCATTTTTCCCTCTTAGGCCTCCTGGCCTGTAATGGGAGGGATGGCCATGAGGGTCTCTGACATGCCCTGGTGACATTTTCCACATTGTCTTGGTGATGAGGGAACATTTGGCTCCTGGTTACTTATGTAAATTTCTGCAGCTGTCTTAAATTTCTCCCCAAGAAATGGGTTTTTGTTTTCTACTGCATCATCAGGCCGAAAATTTTCTAAACTTTTATGCTCTGTCACCTCTCGAATGCTTTGCTGCTAAGAAATTTCTTCCACTAGATACCCTAAATCATCTCTCTCAAGTTCAAAGTTCTGCAGATCTTCAGGGGAGGGGCAAAACTATGCCAGCCTCTTTGTATAGCAAGAGTGACCTTTACTCCAGTTTCCAACAAGTTCCCCATCTCACTATCACCATTTTGGTCTAAGCCATTTAACAAGTCTCAAGGAACTTCCAAACTTTCCCACACCTTCGTGTCTTCCTCTGAGCCCTCCAAACTGTTTCAACCTCTGCTTGTTACCCATTTCCAAAGTTGCTTTCACATTTTCGGGTATCTTTACAGCAGCATCCAACTCTACCTGTACCAATTTACTGCATTAATCTGTTCTCACACTGCTAATGAAAACATACCTGAGACTGCGTAATTCATAAAGGAAAGGTTTAATTGACTCACAGTTCCACATGGCTGGGGAGGCCTCACAATCGTGGTGGAAGGCGAATGAGGAGCAAACTCATGTCTTACATAGTGGCAGGTGAGAGAGCTGGTGCAGGAGAACTCCCCTTTATAAAACCATCAGATCTTGTGAGACTTCCTATCACAAGAACAGCACAGGAAAGACTTGCCCTCATGATTCAATTACCTTCCACTGGGTCCCTCCCACGACATGTGGAAATTATGGGAACTACAATTCAAGATGAGATTTGGTTGGGGACACACAGCCAAACCATATCACTTAATAACTCAACATGTTAAAATGTAACTGATTATTCTAACACTCTCTACCACCCAAAAGAAACAAAATGAAACAAAACTCTCCTTTTCCTCTATTTCCTATATAGATATGTATATATGCCAGCTGCTTGGAATGATGTCCGCTCCATCTCACACCCAACACTTTGTGTGTGTGAGACACACACACACACACACACACACACAGAGAGAGAGAGAGAGACAGGGTCTTGCTCTGTTGCCCAGGCTGGAGTGCAGTGGCATGAACATAACTCACTACAGCCTTGACCTCCTCCTGCCTCCGCCTCCTGAGTAGCTGGGATTACAGGTGCACACTACCACACTCAGCTAATTTTTTATTTTCTGTTTTGTAGCGACAGGGTCTCACTATGTTTTCCATGCTGATCTCAAACTCCTGGGCCCAAGTGATCTTCTTGCTTCAGCCTCCCAAAGTGCAGGTGTGTCCGGAATTGGTGGGTTCTTGGTCTCACTGACTTCAAGAATGAAGCCGCGGACCCTCGAGGTGAGTGTTACAGCTCTTAAGGTGGCGTGTCTGGGTCTGGAGTTTGTTTCTTCTGATGTTCCGATGCGTTCGGAGTTTCTTCCTTCTGGTGGGTTCGTGGTCTCCCTGGCTCAGGAGTGAAGCTGCAGACCTTCGCGGTGAGTATTACAGCTCTTAAGGTGGCGCGTCTGGAGTTGTTCGTTCCTCCTGGTGGGCTCATGGTCTCGCTGGCTTCAGGAGTGAAGCTGCAGACCTTCGCGGTGAGTGTTACAGCTCTTAAGGTGGCGCGTCTCGAGTTGTTCGTTCCTCCCGGTGGGCTCGTGGTCTCGCTGGCTTCAGGAGTGAAGCTGCAGACCTTCACGGTGAGTATTACAGCTCATAAAAGCAGTGTGGACCCAAAGAGTGAGCAGTAGCAAGATTTATTGCAAAAAGCAAAAGAACAAAGCTTCCACATTGTGGAAGGGGACCAGAGTGGGTTGCCACTGCTGGCTCAGGTAGCCTGCTTTTATTCTCTTATCTGGCCCCACCCACATCCTAATGATTGGTAGAGCCAAGTGGTGCGTTTTGACAGGGTGCTGATTGGTGCATTTACAATCCCTGAGCTAGATACAAAGGTTCTCCACATCCCCATCAGATTAGTTAGATACAGAGTATCCACACAAAGGTTCTCCAAGGCCCCACCAGAGCAGCTAGATACACAGTGTGGATGGCTGCACTCACAAACCCTGAGCTAAACACAGGGTGCTCATTGGTGTGTTTACAAACCTTGAGCTAGATACAGAGTGCCGATTGGTGTATTTACAATCCCTGAGCTAGACATAAAGGTTCTCCAAAGGCCCCACCAGAGCAGCTAGATACAGAGTGTCCATTGGTGCACTCACAAACCCTGAGCTAGACACAGGTGCTGATTGGTGTGTTTACAAACCTTGAGCTAGATACAGAGTGCCGGTTGGTGTATTTACAATCCCTGAGCTAGACATAAAGCTTCTCCAAGGCCCCACCAGACTCAGGAGCTCAGCCGGCTTCACCCAGTGGATCCCGCACCAGGCATGCAGGTGGAGCTGCCTGCCAGTCCCGGTGTTGTGCACCCACACTCCTCAGCCCTTGGGTGGTCGATGGGACTGGGCGCCGTGGAGCAGGGGGTGGCGTTCATCGGGGAGGCTCGGGCACACAGGAGCCCATGGAGGGGGTGGGGGGCTCAGGCATGGCGGGCTGCAGGTCCCGAGCCCTGCCCCACGGGAAGGCAGCTAAGGCCCCGTGAGAAATCGAGCGCAGCGCAGGTGGGCTGGCACTGCTGGGGGACCCAGTACACCCTCCGCAGCCGCTGGCCCTGGTGCTAAGTCCCTCATTGCCCGGGGCCGGCAGGGCCAGCCGGCTGCTCCGAGTGCGGGGCCCGCCAAGCCCATGCCCACCCAGAACTCCAGCTGGCCCGCAAGAGCCGCACGCAGCCCCGGTTCCCGCTCGCGCCTCTCCCTCCACACCTCCCTGCAAGCTGAGGGAGTGGGCTCAGGCCTTCGCCAGCCCAGAAAGAGGTTCCCACAGTGCCCTGGTGGGCTGAAGGGCTCCTCAAGTGCCGCCAAAGTGGGAGCCTAGGCAGAGGAGGCGCCGAGAGCGAGCGAGGGCTGTGAGGACTGCCAGCACGCTGTCACCTCTCACAGGTATGAGCCCAGCCCCAATACTCCTTTACCTGAAAATCTTCTAGATACCTTTTAAGAATCATTCTCTGAGTGTTACCCATGTTGTGCATATCCCTCTTGTTTTATTTCGTTTGTTTGTCTGTTTTGTTGCTCTGTGTGCTCATTTGTCAGTTATTCAAATAGACTTGATGGAACACTGCCAGTTAGACACTTTTGCAGGAGAAAGTGAATGCAAGTCTGAAGATAGGAGTCATTAGGTGGCTTGTCTCAGAGAACTCAACAGAAAGTCTGCCACCTGTAGCTTTTTAGGAACTGCCTGATTTATTCATAAATAAATAGATTACTGGTGAGGGCCAGCTTTTTAGTGGCTCAAGGCTGGCAAGGTAGTTTGCTATACATATAACTTTTTGGCAATCTTTTGAACCAATGGGGTTGTATTCTAAACTCATCTTTTTTGAGAGAATAGTATCCTTAGGGCAGTATCTTCCTTCCTCCCTCTAAATATATTATTGTTACATATTTCAAATATTTAGAAAAGAGAATACAATAAACACTTACATACTATTCACTCAGATTTATCAGTTATTAATATTTTCACACTTGCTTTCTGTGTTTGTGTGTGTGTGTACATCTCCTAAGTAAAATACCATACAATTCTAAATACCATAATATCAGCATCACATCCAAGAAATGCCAACATCGGTATAATAATATGACCTAACATAGAATTATATTCAGATTACTCCAACTATTCCCAGACTGTCTTTTTATAAAATTTCTGGATTAATTATTCACTCAAGTTTCATACATTTTCTTTGTCATGTGTCTTTAGACGCCTTTGATTTAGAGCAGTTCTCTTACATGCTTTTCATTGCTGGTATTATTTCATTTTTTATGTAGAATGCCCTACAATTTGGATTTGTTTGATTGTTTCACCATGATTAGAATCAGACTAAATATTGTTGGCAAGAATATTATACAGATAGTATTGTGTACTTCCCACTAGATCACATGAGGAAGCACATAATTTGTTTTTCCTATTACTGATAATGGTAGGTTTGACCACTTGGTTAAAACTGGTGTTGCCAGACCTCTCCACTATAAGTGTAACTTTGACCCTGTAAGTATCAAGTAATCTCTGGGTGACTCTTTCAGAACATGTGAATGCCATGTTATCCAATAACTTTTCACCCAATGATTTTAGCTTCCATGATGAACATTGCTGAAATGAATTATTACATTGGTAATTTCAAAATTGTAATTTTCTATGTCTATTCTCCTTTATATTAATTAGTATTCTTCTATAAAGAAGAGCTTCCTCCTTCTCCTCTTTTTCTCTTTTATGCAATATTTCTATGGGCTTATTGAATCCCTTTTTCCTTATTTGAATTTCTATTACCATTATGTCATTATTATTTTAACACTCCATGTATTCCTAATTTGGCCTGTTGATGCCCCATTCAAGCAGGATCCTGTGTCCTTTTCACATGGCCCTGTTAGTCTTTAAGCACTTGGGTTACCTTGTGCTTTCTTTGCCCCAACCTGGAACCAGCAATTTCTCCAATGAGTCCCTGAGTGGGGAATGATATTTCAAATCCAAGGTCTTAGTTCTATTTGTGCCCATGGCTTGCAGGCCTTTTAAGTAGGCAAAACTGTCCAATTCAAAGGCATCACATCGGTTCTGCTAGAGACTAGTATCTTATTGTTAGGTCATATATTACAGACAGTATATTAATTCAGTTATCATGACAATTCCAGGTAACAATGCAGCAGCAAACCATTTCCTAGGAATTGTTTACACAGTAGAAATCAGCTACCTTTGTTTGTAACATGAAGATTTGCTGAATCTTTTGGTGAAAGTCATGAAATGATTTCGAGTGATGTGTAGATCCTTTGCCAGTTCACCTCTATCTTCAGTGGTTCCCAAACTGTGATCCACAGATATCTGGGTGTCCTGCAGACTGACTTTCAGGGAGTCTGAGAAGTTAAAACTATTTTCATGACAATTCTAGGATCGTATTTGCCTTTTGTGTATGACATGTCTTTTTAATACGTATGAATCAGCCTGGTGAAATACAAATATATGTAAAGCACTACTGAAATGTGATGGTATCTCAGAAAAAAAGCACTTCTGTGATTGATTGAGTTGCTAATTGAACAAGAACCATTTTAATAAGATTCCATTGTTGCTTGAAAGAAAGACTGACACATACATTGTTGCTTCTCAGACTTGAGTGTCTGGCAGATATTTTCTGAAAAATGCATGAAATGAGGCTATCATCTCAATTTAAAGAACTGACAGTATTTATAGCTATGATATATTCTCAGTTTTTAAACAATTAGAATTTCAGAAAATTTGTGTCTGCTATCACAAGCTTATCAACTTCCTGATACTTGGCAAGGCTTTTCTAGAGAGACTGTTGATGATATTAACGAATATTCTTTTTTATGTTATATATGGAAATATGTCAACATTTGGAAGACCTGTATAAGTCAGTGAATCAATATTTTTCAAATGGACAATGTAACAGTATTACAGTGTGACACATGAGTAAATGAGCCAATCAAAGTACAGGATAAACTAACGGATTTTTAATGCCACAGAGTATAAAAAAATCATTAATATGATTTTAATGTCCCCTAGATATTAAATACCTGGCATCTGTGGAATCTCTAATAAAATGTAAGCAGTCCCCAGAGAGCCTTCTCTTTAACCTTAATTTTCTCTAGTCCGTCTACATGTTAGCAAGGATTAGCTGACAGACACAGTCAAACTTCAGTGCTTGTTAAATTATTTGACTCAACAGGGTGACCAGCACTTTGATAGGTGCTATGGAAGCCAAAAACCATGGAGTATAGCTAGTTTATCAAGTGAGTATCTCAGGGGATATTCATGGCATGAAACATGATATTCAGGTACATAACATAGTTTCATGATTGTGCTTACGGTTGTGTGCAAACCCAAGGGTTCTGTAACCTAATTCCCTTCTCTACTGTTTAAAAAAGCACGACAGAATACAAGTGATGAGAATAAATTTGTATTTTCTGTAGTTTACTTAAAATGTAGATTAATATACAATTTCATTTATTTTTGAAATACTCAAATCTTTTACCACACTACAATTGAGAACTATCATAATGTACTGTGAACTTCTTGGGGAGGAACCGAGCCTTTTCTTTGCTTGAATCCCTGCACTGGCACTGGGCATGGAACTAGGTAGGCACCCAAAATGTTTACTCATTTGACTTGAACATTGTTTTCTATTAATGAATATTAACTATCTGTTCTCCATTAACTTATACCATTACATAAACTTTGTGTAAGTCAATTATTTGAAATGTAGGGAAATCCATATAGCATATATATGTATATAACACCTCAGTCATGTACTTTCTCAGTCTATTCTACAAACAATTTTAAGCAGGAATAATATAACTGAACTGGAAGATGAGAATTTTCCAGAATTTTGAGTCTTGAGACCCACCTTTCCTGAAGAGAGAACTTTTAATTGTGAATAGACTGGGTTATGGACAGCATTTTGAGTGAATGATGGCTACCTTTCATGTAAAATTTCACTTTGTGGCATTCTAGGTGCATAGGAGACAAGTTAATTAATTGCACGCAATGGATGCCTTGAGTCATTAGGATTTTGTTCTCTCTCTGGTGGAGAGAGGCTGAAAAAACATCTCTTGTCCAAATGCATTTATGTCTCTAATCTTGCTTCGTTTACAGCCATGGCATTTTTTTTAACCATCTAAATATATGGTATACATTTAGACATTCAGATGTGTCTGGTCACATATCTCCTTGTCTGCCTTTCCCTGTGGAATGTAAACTTCCTGAGGACATGGACTTTGCCCATTTTGTCTTTTTTTCATTTTCTTTTCTGTTTAAAATTGATACGTAATATGTATACACATTTATGGGATACATGTGGATGGTATTTCGATAAATGCATATGAATTGTAATAAGCAAATCATGTTATTCAGGATATCCATCACCTTGAACATTTATCATTTCTTTGTATAAGAAACATTTCAAATCTTCTCTTCTAGTTATCTCAAAATATACAATATGTTGTTGCTAACTACAGTCACCTTACTGTACGACAAACACTAGAACTTTTTCCTTTTATCTAACTGTATATTTGTAGCCATTAACCACACTTTCTTCATCACTTTCCCTGTTCCAACACCCTTCCCAATATCTAGTAATTATCATTCTACTCTCTACCTCCATGCAGAGAAAAGGAAATTCTTACACACTGTTGGTGGGAATATAAATTATAATGTAAACAATATGGAAGTTTCTCAAAAAACTAAAAATATAACTATCACATGAACCAGCAGTCTCACTACTAGGGATATTTCCAAAGAAAATGAAATCAGTATATTGAAGAGAAAGAGATATCTGCACTCTTATGTTTATTGCAGCACGATTCACAATAGCCAAGATACGTAATCAACCTAAGTATCCATCAGTGGATGAATAGATAAAAAAAAATGTGGCATATATACACAATGGAATCCCATTTTGTTTGTTTTATTCACTATCTAGTGCCTACAAGCTTGAGAGAGTTGAAGATTGCTTACGAGAATTGGTAGCTTAATAAATATTTTCTTCATGAATCATAAAATCAATAAATTTTCATGTTTTTACAAGTAGTGTAGAAGAGCGATGTGACTACTAAACTATATTTTTAAACAGATTTATTGAGATATAATTGACGTATACAATTATATACATTTGAGGTATACAACTTGACATTTTGATATGCATATACTTTGTGAAATGATCACTACAATCAAGCTAGTTAACACATTCATTACCTCTACATTGTTATTATTGTGTGTGTACACCTGTGTGTGTGTGTGTGTGTGTGTTTGTGTATACCTGTGTGTGTCGGGGGGGTGGGGCGAGGGGTGATCAGATTAAATTGAAGCAATATCCACTCAGCAAATTACAAATATCCATACGGTATTGTTAACTATCATCATTATGTTGCACACTAGATGTCCAAAAATTATACATCTATAGCTAGGCTACTGAAAAATGACCATGTTTAGTGACTTTCCTTCAACCTGGTGTTGATCTCAAATTGTGAATTGAAATTTTACCTAGAAGCTTTGATGCTGGGACTTAGAAAGTTCAGCTTGAATGATACAATTATTAAGCTCTTAAAGTCTTAAGATAACTTTATTTAAATCATATTAATCTTAGATCATATTTTTGGCATTTTTAACATTGTATTGCATCTCTTTGTTTACAAGTGTATCAGATAGTGGAGTCTTAGAATAAAAGAATCATATTTGTTTTATTTTTTAATAAATTTGCTGTAGCACATGCTTAGTGCTTAATAAAATATGTACTAAATGAATAAATGGATGAATGAATGAAATGTACAAAAGCATACATAGATGAACAGAATTTTTTCTGTTTTATTCTCTAACTTGCAAACTATAAAACTTATTTAATCAAGAACCCTCTCAGACATCTATGCAGTGTAAAGACAGCTAGACTTGGAGTCTAGTTTTCTCTGTCTTATTACCCTAACTCTGTCCTTAGCTTTCAATTTTATATTTTTCCTATGTCACTTAGCAACTCTAGGCCATTATTTCTACATGGGAATACCCCCATCATATTAATTCCCTCAAAAAATGTTGGAATAAAAAAAAGGGTGTCAAATTGTTTTTTAAAAAGCTTAGACATATGCTATGAAGTATAATAAACATTATACCATTTTAAATAATTTTTAAATTTTTTAGATTATTTGAACCTTACTTAAGAAAAGCAAATAGTCTATATAATAGTGACATACTACTGTCTTCCTTCCTGGCTAATGAGGTAATGGATGTGTTGGTTTATAATAAGGACGCAGTAAATGGTAGTTATTGTTATATTAACTATTTTACAGCCTACCCTTCCAAACTTGAATTAAATTTCTCTCTTTGCTCAATCATCATTCCCAAGGAAGGATTTTGTTTTTAAAATATGTTAAGTATTCACACATTTCTTTTCATCTCAAAGTAACAAACCGACTTCCTTTCAGAATATTGTAAAACTCTGAGTACACTTTTTTGATTAAAACTCCATTAACTTCCTACATCATACTAAATACCCCTTCTTATTCCTTAGGGTCCTCACATGAAATCTAGGGTTCCCTTCTTATAACTCCATTCTTAGAACTCTCTCTCCTCCAAAGTTACCTTTGGCCCTTTCAGTGGGGAATGCAAAGGAAGCGTGATACTTTTCTTTGCAGAACTAGTGACCAACTGAAGGAAAAAGGTCATTTAGCAGTAGATAAGCAATACAAAAGGCATCAATTATTTTAATTTTCAGCTTCTTGTTCTGATATTTTAATAGGAAAAAGTTCCAACCAAGCACCTTAATCACAGAGAAGAAGACCAGATGTCACATCACAAACATGTAATATCCTTAGCACTCATAACCATCATATAATTCTACAAAGAGCTCAAGGGTTTATAGTATTCAATTGTTTTACATTCTGAGAAACCGAAGAACCGAAAAATGTATAGTAAGTAGTAAATTGCCTACTCACGAGGATATAACTCAAAGAATATGCCCATGTCTGTTGGCTTGGTGATGTTGAGCTGCTCGAGAACAGTCTGGTCCGTTTCATACTCAACAAATAATCCAAATAAAACAATCATGGCAATTTCCAGGACTATAGCCATGAGAGGGAATGTGAACCTCATGTTTGTGGCAAAGGACAGAGGCACACTGAGAGCTTCACAGGCTGTGAGATGTTGATAAGAACAAAGGACTGCTCTGTGTGTGGAATTTGACTGCATGTTCAAGGCACCCCAATGACATCACAAGAAAAAAAAAATGGGCAAGACTGATTAAAATGCCCCACCCATTGGGGAAAATTATGCTCTGTAATCTAATTGTCGTTCTAAATGTTGATCTGAAGAATATGCAATGAAATTGTGAGAACCTGGATGATGCCAACAATCTATTGCACAGGCCTCTAGAATCATGTTTAACTTAATTCAGTAGACATTTCTTGAGGGCTTATTGTATACCAAATATTGTGGTAGGCTTTGTAGAAGGCATGAATCTAAAGCAATATATATAATTGGTCTGTTAACTTCTTGAGAAAATTAAGAATCTAGTTGGGAAAACATAAATATAAGTGAATGATTATATAAAAACAAATATGTGATATAATAGTGGTTATAAAAGTATTATAAAACATAAATAAGGCAGTGAAACTTTTTGCCTTAGGCCAAGAACATTAGCATATAAAACAATATGGATGTGAGAACTAGAACATAAATAGGGTTTTTCAAGTAAAACAGATAAGAGGGAATGATATAAATCTTGGAAGAACATGGCATGTTTTGGAAACGGCAATCAGTCAAGCAAAGCTGGAATGTAAAAGAGATGAAGAGAAAAGGAGGAAGTGGCAGAGATAATGTTGTCATGGAGGTGGCTGTGTTGTAAAGACCCTCACATTCAGTACCGAGGATGCTAGATGCTAAATATTATCCCATGAGCAATGGGGAATATATAGGACTGTAAGCAGTTTTATGTACTTATGAAGTTTTTGACTCCTTACTCTGATTTACGCAAGTGAAAATATGGAAATACACAAATGAGTTGTGATATATCTTTTAGTCTTAAATAGGAAGAGAGTAAACTTAAACAGGAACATAACTAATCTATCATCCTTATAGATAGTCAAGTGTAAATAAGATGCTAAGCAATTCAAAACTACCATATAGGTGGAGGAATTCTTGTCTCCTCTTTGGAATTGTTCTCATGGCAGAATAAACCTGTTTTTGAGAACTAAGAGCTACCAGTTAAATACAATTTCTTTCATGAAGCCCAATTTCCAAAAGATTCTATGCAGAATTTGGAGAGAGAGTGCAACTGACTGCCAGGATACATACATTGTAATAAATATTTATAAAACAAAGCAGCAGGATTTTTTGGTCTTTCTGGTATGATTTTCCACAGTAGAACATGATATGTTAGGACTAAGTGATATTTGAAATTTTATAAATATACAGACACTTTGAAAAATGACTATTTCCATTATTCGTTACAGCATAGTACAAGAGGAGTGGGTTCACATGCTTAGCTATGAAAATACATGTGTACATCTCACACTTTAATTTTTGGTTTTGCAGCAGCCTAAAGAGTGTTCATGAGAACTCCAACAAATCCTAAATGAAAAGTGTATATGTTAATAAACTATGCATAAACTTGTGAAAACCAAGTATCAAATAATAAATTGCAAGAACATCTAAACAATATCATAAACCAATGCGGTTTTAAACTCTTTAATAAAAAGTGACACAGTATATTAAACAATCCAAGACCGATGGCATCTCTCTTTCTCTGGGACATTTCCAGCAGCTCAGCAACCACTCAACACATGGGGAGTAGAGGATTTTACTCATATAGGTGATGGGACTATGCCAGCACTTGACTTCAGCCTGTTCAACTTCGAGGAATTCAGATTTTTTGCCTTATTCTGAATGTAGACATTTGTATTGAAATAAGCTGCATTGTCTACCATCTGGGAAATTATTTCTCTTGTTCAGTTCTTCACATAAGCTTCTCTTTGTAACTGGAAATCTTCCCACATATTCTCTGCTCCCTGTCCTATATACATCATCCATCATTCTTCAGTTTTCAGATAAAATGATACTTCCTCAGAAAAGCCTTCATTGATCTCCCATCTTGAACCAGGTTTCCACTATTATCTCTCATTGAATTGTGGTCTTTTCTTTGCAATTAGTACAGTTGGCTGTGTGTGCTGTATTTATGTAGTGTTTGTATTTATATGTAATTTTTAAGAATGGCCGTTTCCCTTACTGGCCTGTTAGCTCCAGGACAGGGGCTGTGTCTCTTTTGCACCTCATTTGTTATCTAGAATGAATAATACCATGTCTAGCACAATATATAATTGATAAACATCATTTGAGTGAATTGAATTAAGGGCAGACTTGAAGGGAGAAACACTCAGCAGGCAGGTCAGCGGTGTGAGGAAGGGAGAGAGGAACAGCTTTACTCTAATAAATTTCATTTTAAATTATAAATATTTAGAATCCTGACAGTAGCTTTCATACTGCTGTCTACTCTCTCATTATTTCAATCAGTGAGGGCTTATCATCAGGTTCTCTGCGCCTAGAACAAAAGGGAGGATCAAGCTCAAGCCATGAAGCTTGGGAGGGCCAAATTCCTGGCAGACCAACATATGGTAGTGTGAACCTGAAGATTTCAACAGCTTTTTAGAAATCTCTTTCCTGACAGTTCTGAATCACAAAGACAATAGGCTGAGGGTGTGGGTGTCCTAAAGTGGAAATGATTTATCTGTTGCCTTGTCTGCCTATGAAACTACAGGATGGCTTTCTTCTAGTGCCTTCAGTAAAAGAGGTAAAATCGGAAAGAATCATGAATGGGTAAGCCACGTTCTTGTGCAAACCAAACCAAACAAAATAAAACACACACCAAGCAAATGAACCTTCAACTTCCCAGCTAAATACACAGATACAAACGAAGTATTCCTGGGTTAATGCAGGAGCCAGTGGGCTACAAGGGATCTTTGATCCTCAACTTGCTGTGTGACTTTAGGAAAGAAACAGTTTCTTTGCCTTATTTTCTGAATATATGTAAAACGTAGCTAATTGTTATTATTTGGAATTTTAATTTGAGTTTGCTTATTTTTAATAGCAAAGAATAATTGAAACAGGACCACCACTGTTTTAAACTGTCTCTTTCTCTCTACCTTTGTGTATTTGTAATGGTGGTGGGAGGGTGGGAGGTATTTAGGAAGATGAAGGTACTAAAATACCTTAAGCATTTTCTGTTCTGGACACTGTGTTAGGTGGCTATTTACCCACCTTGTTTAGTCCCACTGCAATTTTATACACACACACATATATTATTATTATTTTTTTGAGACGGAGTCTTGCTCTGTTGCCCAGGCTGGAGTGCAATGGCGCGATCTTGGCTCACTGCAACCTCCACCTCCCAGGTTCAAGTGATTATCCTGCCTCAGCCACCTGAGTAGCTGGGATTACAGGCGTGCACCACCACATCCAGCTAATATTTGTATTTTCAGTAGAGGCGGGGTTTCACCATGTTGGGCAGGCTGGTCTCAAACTCCTGATCTCAGGTAATCCACCCACCTTGGCCTCCCAAAGTGCTGGGATTACAGGTGTGAGCCACTGTGCCTGGCCTGCAATTTGATATATTTTTATACTTTGCAAACATAACTTGTTCCGTTGGTTTATATGTGTAGCTACTTAAGCACCCAACTGCCATACTGGTATGAGGTCCAGTGACTCTCTTTTTGTGCTTCTTTAATGTTTTCCTTCCAAAAAGAGACCATGGGTTTTATTTAGTCTAATAGGATGGCCAGTCCAACTTCTCTTCCCAAGTGAGGAGCAGACACAAACATTTCTTGCTGCCATAGGGGATCTGGTGAAAGAAAAGGTCTTTCTTCCCATAAAGGTTCTTTGCAACTTCTCGGATCTATGGTGGATGGCCCTGTGCCCTCCCCTAGGGCTTTCTTTTCAGCTACCTGGTGGCACTCAGCATTATTTCACAGAACACTGGAATTGAGCAGGGTTACGGGACCAGAGAAATCAGCACTAGCATTTCCAAAGCAGCTGCCCAAGGCTTTGGAACTTACCTTAAGCTAGGGACCCTTAACATTTTTGTGCTATGGACACTTTTGGCACAAGCCTCTGAATCCCATATCAAAATAGATTTTAAATGCACAAAATAAAATACATTGGATTACCAAGGAAACCAGTTCTATTGAAATACACCGATCAAAATACTGTAATATAAAAGAAGCACCTATACCCAACTGTCTGATATAGGTGCTTCTCTATAATGGATGAAATAAATCTTGTGGCATGTCTAATAATGAGCATAATTTCCAAGTTGAAGTAATGAGTGTAAATAATATTTTGAGATATCTGAAAAAAGTAAAAGAGAGAAAATTATTTGTGATTTATATTAGTGGCAGTTATCAATACTATTAATGATGCTGTTGTTTATTTTCTACATTCACAATAGAAAAAATGTTACATTTCAGTTAAATGCACTGTTGTTTCCCTATTTAAATATATGGACCATCTGAATTATATTTATAGAACTCCAGGTTAAAAATGCCTGTTTTAACTATGGCCAACAGCTTTATTTCTCTTTTTATTCAGTCTCAGGAGGCTTCCTATCATTTCTTGCCCCTGGTAATTCTCACGGACATATTAGTTTATGTCTATGAATTGTGTTAACTCTGAATTCCAGGGAGATGTTGAAGAATATCAGTTAAAATCTTCCCAGGAGGCCCCTGTATTCTTTAGACAAGTTGATTTTTCACTTTTCATGTGATTAACTTTGCAGAAGAAGAGCTAGAGCGCCTCTGAAGTAATCTTTAGCAAAGACAACAAAACTAACTCGTCCAAGTTAAAAGAGAACTCTATAGAGAGATGATAAGCTTGAGGCTCAGAGAGTTTCAGCAACTCGTTCAAAGTTGCACATCGGGTAGATGGCAGAGCCATAATGAATACAGGTTTGCCCAATTTCCTAAATTTAACTTCTTTCAGCTATACCATATTGTTTTTCTTTTTATAACCATTTATTATTTATTTATTTATATGGCTACATAATTGCTTGTAGCAAGATATCTCATATACCCCATACTGTTTTTCTATGTGAGATAACTTATGCTCACACTGATCTCAAGGTACTGACAATATCAAAGAAACTTCTGAAACATAAAAAGGGAATTAAAACTTTTAGAACTGGCCGGGCGTGGTGGCTCACTCCTGTAATCCCAGCACTTTGGGAGGCCGAGGCGCGTGGATCACGAGGTCAGGAGATTGAGACCATCTTGGCTAACACGGTGAAACCCTGTCTCTACTAAAAATACAAAAAATTAGCCGGGCGCGGTGGCGGGCGCCTGTAATCCCAGCTACTCGGGAGGCTGAGGCAGGAATGACGTGAACCCGGGAGGCAGAGCTTGCAGTGAGCTGAGATAGCGCCACTGCAGTCCGGCCTGGGAGAAAGAGTGAGACTCCGTCTCTAAAAAAAAAAAAAAAGAAAAATTAAAACTATTTTCTGTTTACAGTTTTTTATTTTACTTTAACTTGGAAAGTACTATCAAATGATGATATCAACTTTTCTACTTGGATCACTCTTTTTCTCAACTAGGAGAGATCTACATCATAGAGAACCTTTGTGTGTCTCCATTTAGATAGTCAATAGATAGTCCCAAACTTAGTCTTAATTACAGAACCCTAAAATTGATATGAATTTCAAACTTTGTAGACCGAGAAAAAATATATGTATGTACTTTTAAAATTGAGAATATTGAAACTACATCTTTTTTCTGTTGGGGACTGTTATATGTGTATAAGTATATTATATATAACATGTTACATATTTAAATGTAATTATATATGATTATATATAATTGTATGCACATATATATGTAGTTTATCTGCTGGAAAGAGATTCACTCTTTACCTCCACATGCATATTAAATGAACAAATGCCATCAACCAAAGATCAGGCACAAAGTGTTTTCAAATGTGATCATCACAACGTGTAAGTGTTGAGCTAGAGTTTACATTCTGTAAAGGCATCCCCTTTTTTGTGGGTTACTCTTCACTATTTACACTTCCAGAATTTTCAGAATGAGACAGCTTACCTGTAGCAAGGATGAACAGAGCCTTGAAAGTGTCAGGATTGTGCTGAAGGTAGTGTTTCATTAAGTACATGGCTAATATTTCCTTCTCTCTTTTCTTTCGTCTTGGTCTGGTATTGTTGAACTGAAGAAATGGGCCAGGCGTGGTGGCTCAAGGCTGTAATCCCAGCACTTTGGGAGGCCGAGGTGGGCGGATCACGTGGTCAGGAGAGGGAGACGAGATCAAGACCATTCTGGCCAACACGGTGAAGCCCCGTCTCTACTAAAAACACACAAATTAGCTGGGTGTGGTGGTGCATGCCTGTAGTCCCAGCTACTCAGGAGGCTGAGGCAGGAGAATCGCTTGAACCCAGGAGGTGGAGGTTGCAGTGAGCCGAGATTGTGCCACTGCACTCCAGCCTGGCGACAGAGTGAGACCCCGTCTCAAAAACAAAACAAAACAAAACAAAACAAAAAACAAAAAACAGAAATGGATCTTCTATAGACCATATGTGTTGCTTTCCTGCTTTGAAAATGGGGATAATTGCCTGACTACTCAGCTGATGATTTATATTACATGTAAAAAAAATTCGTGGTTTAAGAATTAGAATATCTAGACCACAGTTTTTACACAATTATTAATTACTTCATCTATTAGATTTGAGCATCTTGAGTTATTCACTTATTTCTGACTTGACTCATTGTGGAAAATAATGTTTTAATTTTAATTTTTCAAAACAACTTTATTGAGATATAATTCACACACCATACAATTCACCCATTTGAAGCATACAATTCAATGGTTTTTAGTACATCCACAGATATGTTTAAGCATCACCACAGTACATTTACAAAATTCTCATGTATTTATTAGGCATCCGTGTTTCTTTTATGAATTATGTGTTTGTAGATTTTGCCCGTTTGTCATCTTATTTTTTTTTCCCAACATTTATTTTAGGTTCAAGGGGTACATGTTCAGGGTTTTTACTAAGGATAAATTGCATGTCATGGGGGTTTGGTGTACAGATAATTTTGTCACCCAGGTAATCAGCATAGTACTTGATAGGTAGTTTTTCAGTCCTCACCCTCCTCCCACCCTCCACCCTCAAACAGATCTTGGTGTCTATTGTTCCCTTCTTTGTATCCAGGTGTACTCAATATTTAGCTCCCACTTACAAGTGAGAACATGTGGTATTTGGTTTTTGGTTCCTGTATTAATTCATTTAGGATAATGGCCTCCAGCTGCATCCACGTTGCTGCAAAGGACATGATTTTATTCCTTTTTACAGCTATGTGGTATTTCATGATGTATATGTACCACATTTTCTTTATGCAGTCCACCATTTATGGGCATCTAGGTTGATTCCATGTCTTTGCTATTACCACAGTCAATTTTAGACATTTTCATCACCTCAAAAAACTCCCATATTCTTTAGCAATTCCTACACCCTTTTCCTAGCCCTAAGCAACCACAAATCTACCCTTTCTCTATCGAGTCCCCTATTCTGGACTATCGTATGAGTGAAATCAAATAGTATGAGGTCTTTTGTGGTAGGTTTCTTTTACTTAGCATAATGTTTTCAAGATCTATCCATTTGTAGCACCTATCAGTACTTCTTTACTTTTCATGGCCAAATAATATTTCGTTATATGGCTATAACACATTTGTCTATTCATCCTTTTCTTGGCAGACATTAGGATTATTTTCAACTTTTGGCTATTATAAATAATGCTGATAGAAACATTCATGTATAAGTTTTTGTTGTAGACATATGTTTTCATTTTTCTCGAACATATAGTAAGTAGAATTGCTGGATCCTATGGTAACTTGAAAATTAATCATTTGAAGAACTGCCGACAATTTTCAAAAGTGACTTTTCTCTTTATCTTCTCACCCAAAGTGTATGATGGTTCTGATTTCTTCACCTCTTCACCAATATTTTTTTTAATTTTAATTCTAGCTATCCTGGTGGGTGTAAAGTGATGTGTTCTTGTGGTTTTGATCTTAATTTCCCTGACAACTAATGAAGACAAGCATCTTTTGTGTGCTTTTGTCCATTTGTATAGTATATCTTTCTTGACGAACTGTCTATTCAGATTCTTTGCTCTTTTTTAAAAAAGGATTATTGAATTGCACCAAACCATGTTCTCCTTAAGATTGTCACTAACTCATATACCATAAAGTAAATCTCTTAAACTGTCTTTTTCACTATTTTTCTCATCGTTAATGTGGCAGTGAGGATTCTTGCTTTGTCCACCTGAAACAGTTGTTGTAAGATTAGGTGAGAGAGTGTATATAAAGGCACTTTATACATTTTAAAGAGATAAAAAAAACTAAGTTATTAAAGAGAAATACGGTGATAATAGATGGGGCAGTGTTTTGGATTAAAATTAAAGCCTTTGTATAAGTACGATGAATTGTGAAAATGAAGAAATACTATTTAGGCAATAAAGTCATCAAAATTGGTTATAGCTCATCAACTTTAGGAATCAAGCCAGGCACGGTGGCTCACTCCATAATCCTAACACTTTGAGAGGTTGAGGTGAGAGGATTGCTTGAGCCCAGGAATTCAAGACCAGACTGGGCAACATAGTGAGACCCTATCTCTAAAAAAATACAAAGAAAAACAAAAAAGTGGTGGCACACACTTGTGTTACTTAGGAGGCTGAGGTGAGGACCAATTGGGCCTGGGAGGTGGAGGCTGCAGTCGGCTGTGATTATGCCACTGCACTCCAACCTGGGCAACAGAATGAGACTCTGTCTCAAAAACCAATCAAATAAACAACACGAACAACTGCAAAACCCACAAAAAACCAAAACATTAGCAATCAGACAACATTTTTAAATGTTTTATTTTGAATAATTTTAGATTTACAAATGAATTGCAAAGATAACAGAGAGTCTCTTATTGCCCTATGTTCACTTTCCTGTAATGCTAACATCTAACATAATCATAGTATAATGATAAAAATCAGGAGATTAACATTGTTATAATACTATTAACTAAACACCAGACTTTTCACTAGAATCCTTTTTCTGTTCCAGAGTGCAATCCTGGGTCCTACACTGCATTTAGTCACCACAATTTCTTAGTCTCCTATATTTTATGACAGTTCCTCAGTCTTTCCTTGTCTTTCAGAATCTTGACTCTTTTGAAGAGTACTAGTCAGATATATTGTAGAATATTCTTTAGTTGGGGTTTGCTGATATTTTCTCATAATTGGACTGGGGTTATACATTTTTGGGTTGATGATTACAGAGGTGGAATGCCCTTCTCATCACATCCTATCGGGGGTACTTAATATAAATATGCATTACTATTGGTGACATCAATCTTCGTTACTTGGTCAAGGTAGACAAGAGTTTTAATTTTGAAATATTCTCTCTACACAGCCTTGCCAAGAGAGGATTTTGTCCCAAATATATATTCCTAATTTTACTAATAATAAATGACTGTGGTAACCACTACGCAAAATAAAATAAAGAACAAAAGAGAAGAAGGAGCTAGAGAAGGGGTAGGTGGTGGAGGAGGAGAGCGGGGGACAGAAACCTGTGTGTGGGTTCCAGAGAGACCCCGCCTGATTAGTGTCCTGGCAGTTGGGCCCATGGGAGTACACAGCTTAAGTGAAGGGGAAGTCACATAAGTCAGACATGGTCTTGAGCAAGCTGCTTTTCAAAGATAAGGTTGGAATTGAAGAGCTTCCCAGAAAATATGACAGATCTTTATTTCTTTTTTTTTTTTCAGAACTTGGTCTCATTCCCCACTATAGTTTATCAGCATGCCTCAGCTTGCTGAGCCTTAGGCACAGATGTGTCTTCAGAGTAAGCATTTGGTGGCATTTTTAACCTACTGGCATCTGATACCTGCCAGACTCTTTACCCATGCTAACTATAATCCTTAAAACAGTGCAGCAAGATAGGGCTTTTTATTTTTTTCTCTTATTGTCATTATACAAATGGGAAAACTAAGACATGAAATGGCTGTTGAAGTCTAATGCCATTTAGAAAATTCCAGTATCCACATTAAAATGAAAGTCAGTCAGTCTGACTCTAAAACTGTCATTCTTTTTCTTCAGCTAAATTGGTTTTAGTGCTTTTCTACTGTCTTTCAGGTATTACTTACATCCTAGAAAAACTGCTTCTCCTAATAGAAATATAAATAATTACATATATTCATAGTTTTTAGATGATAAAATCTAAAGTTTTTTTAACTTATTCATACTGTACAGAACTACGTAAAGTAAGTGTGAATGTCCATCCATTCACTCTTATGCTCCTGGCGATAGTTTGATATTCATCTTTCTGGTCTCCCTCTAAACATTTATACATAAATATGTTCTCATATACGTATTTCTGATTTTATAATATCAATGTTATAATACTTCAAAAGCTTCACCACGTGTCTTGGAATATCAGTTTTACCTTTTTAGTTTTAAAGGTGGTAAACATATTTCATGGTATAGATGGGTCACTTGTATGGATATTTTGATAGATCAATAAAGGTTTTTATTAGAGGATTACAACCATGCATGCTGAATCTTCAGGGATTATAACAAGCAGGGAAGGGAGATGTTTAGGAGTATTTTGGAGCCTTCAGTATAGATCAATGCTTAGAGCCTCAGACCTTGAATCCAGACTGCCTAGTTTCCTATCCTAACTACAGTGTTGACTTGATGTGTGAATCTGGGCAAGTAACAAATTCTGTAATTGGTTTTATTCTCTAAAACATACAAATAATAATGACTTTGCAAAGTCATAATGAAGTCACAGTAAGGATCATAATGTTACTGAGTAAAAAATTACAAACAAAGCCTGAGACACAGTAGGGACACAGTAAGTGCAATATTACTTTTATTTTGTCATTTTTGGCTACCCACATCCAAGACTCTATTTTGAAGGAATTTTAAAATAAGAGCCTTGTTTCCTACTGTTGAGTCTCACATTGGGGCAGATATTTCCAATCCTTGTCCTCAGCCATTTGCCAGGTTAAAGTCTATGACTTCGGCTTGATCAGTTGGATTCTCATATCTAGAACTTAGAGAATTTCGAAGGCAGTTATGCAGAATGCATGGGAATTGAAAACTTGGGGCATGTTTGTGACAGCAGTAGTGGCATTTTTATAAACTAGAATATTCTTATGGTATTATTTGCTTGTGACATCAGCTTGCTTTGGTAGGATTTGTTTCTTGACTTTGGGTTTCAAGGCTGAAGTCGATTTTGTGAGCTTCCTGGTACCCTCCCCAAAAATGCCATTTTCTCCATAGATATTTCATTTCTGCAGTTTGTAACTAAGAAGCTTGGTGATTCAGTATCATCTCTGTACCCCCTGTAATCTCATTATTCACTCAAAACATTTATTGAGGACTTCCTCTGTATTGGAAAAAAAGCTGCAGTATATGATGTTGCTCCTCCTTAACAAATTCAGAGAGGTTGAATTTGGGTGTTTTTGCAAGTCAGAATCAAGAGATTGTTTATCTATAAACACACACTTCTGGAGAAAATAAAGTCATGTTAAGCTAAACAAAAAATTTTGTCTGTTGATGTTTTTTAAGTTTTTTGAATTCAGTAATTTTGTTTCACAATCATTTTGCATGTAGGAAAAGCAAATTAGCAGGTATTATCCAGGTGTAATAACTGCAATTTCTGGTTTTGATTGAATTTCTGTGGAGACTCCCTGTCAAATTGGCATTGGATTATTCTTATGGCTAGAAGAGTCTGTCAATTTACAGTGGCTTCTGCTGACACAATGCATCAGCTTAAGACTCTTTCCCTTTTATCTGACTCAAACCCAACTTCTCAACTACTGAAAGGAAACCTCAGGTTTTATGTGAAAAAGTGATATTAATTTATCCATTATGCATCCTCTACTTTTTGCTCATAAAGATCACTTCCTTTAGAGTTTTTGTGGTCCATTTAATGCTTCCCTGTACAGTTATTATAAAGTAGATTTTATCCATGTTCAAATATTTGAATGAAAGAAGTCAACACAATGGTTGACTTGCTCTGGTTCCCACAGTCTGTAGAACTGGCTCTAATCACAGGGTGAAAATTATACCAGTGATCAATTTGATTATAATTTTTTGGTGGTAGGATTATGGATAATAATAAATGTGATTCTTATATTTTTATATTTTCAAATTTTCTTAAACTTAGATGCATTATTTTTATATTAATGAAGACATAAACATTTAAAAACATTGATATATTAGAGGAACCAGTAGGGATATAAAAAGAAGCTAAAATTTTTGCAAACTCTAACTCAAAAGGACGTTTTATTTCTCATTGGTGATAAAAATGAAAGGCCTTGGAACTAAAATCATGAAGTCACATAAAAATACTTAAAGATCTTTATGTGCCTTCTTTAGCCCAGGGATGTGCCTAACTTTGAAACAGCTCCATGGCTTGCAGTACACCTTAATTCATCATCTATTTAACAGTGTACCTATTATACCTGTAGACAAACACAGGAAGTTACTCTTTAATATTTAGGCTTGTGAATACATAACATATTGTGTTTCTTGAACTGGGAGAAAACAGATTGTTTTAAGTTAATGAGTACATTTATGGCAGACCCCTTTAGATGTAAGTCACCATGTGACTGAATCATCATTAATACAACAATGGATGATAATGGCTGTTATTTAGACGAATGGAATATCAGCAAAATAGATGACATTTTTTTTTTATTTTAAGCAAATAAATCTCTATATCTGGCTTTTAGCTAGTATGAAAGAGAGAGTCAACTACTTGGAAAAGAAATACAAGGGCCACGTGAAATAGTGAAATGTTTCTGGACAATTTGTAAGTTGAATAAGAATCAGGGAGCACAGATTTACTAAACAAAAACTGCTCTTGCTTATATGTACCATTGATTAATATTTTAAAAGTCCATTTGTCAGATCTATAACTAGCAAATAGTTATTTATGAGTTTATCTTTTCCCCATCAAGGTCTACAGTTATCCTCAATTTAAGTTGAAAACGAGAGGCTAAATATATTGTTTTGTTTCCTAACAACAACAACAGCAACAACAACAACAACAAAAACAACAACAGAGAATCAGAATGGAAACATCAGAATTCTTCATCCTTTGACTGCGTCAGGTTCCTACCAAGTTTAATTTATTCAAGCTACCAGAAAACTTAAAAGTTAAAGAAAATCAAATTCATTATTTAAGAGAACTATCAAAAAGGTAAATACATTATTATTTTAAAATTATATTGGTTTATATCTACAACCATATTGACCTTTTTGCCCAAATTGGCTGATTAATTTAAACAAACCAGTAATTTACTCAGAATTTAATCTGCTGAACTCAATTTACTAAACCAGTTGAAAAGATCAACATAATTATAATCTGTGACTCACTGTTTTTACCCACAAGCCCAGCTAACAGAGAGATAGCAGCATTGGGAGGCAGGGATTACGGGAGAAGAAATTGCTTTCAGTAACATGTAAGAAAGAAAGAAAGAAAAGAAAGATAAAAAGAGAGGAAAAAAAAAAGAAAGAGAGGGAGAAAAGAGGAAGGAAAACCAGCTGTTGTGGGTTAAATTGTGCCTCTGTATCCACCCCTTAAGGTAGGTTATTTTAAAGTTGAGAAAGTTTAACTTAAAATTAAGGAAATTTGGGTGATACGTATGCATTTTCCAGAAAAGATATTCAGTCTTTTGGGAAAAGTAAATAACTTAGGAAATGTTCAAGTATAGAAAGGTTATGCAAAAATACACAATGTTTGGCATGGATTGTATGAGAAATCTTTCCTCCTTTTCATATTTCCTTCCTGTGGGATTTATATGCCATCATCCTACAAGAAGAGAACTGTTGTATGTTCCTTTTATCAAAAAATTTGGAAACATCAATACGATGATAATGATGGGGTAAGAAACCAGGAAGAAGATAGACATGATCAATAAGAAGGTAGAGACACTAAGTGCACACTCTTTTAAATGGCAATGAAAATAAAGAGAATAATGGAATATTAGAATCTTAGCATATTTGTAGGAGGAGAGGAAAATTTTCCAAAAGGAAGATACTGAGAGTAGGAGCTGCTGGGGTGCTTATTGATGGCTTATAGTCCTAATGTGATCAAGAGATAAAGGTAGAGAATAATCTTTGAAAAGGTGCAAGACAGTGGTCTATTACTCAAAGTAAGCAAGGCAGGAGAAAGAGATGAATTAAGTTATTAAAACATTTGAAGCTGCAGAAAAAAAAGAGACGGTTTAAAACCTTAGTTTCATGGTTGTTTTTAAACTTTTGAACACATGATAATTTAATCTTCTGAAAGCTGATATTCTGTCAAGGTGGGGGACTTGAGAGGAAAGGCAAGGTGACTTTTGGATAATGCCACATAATATTCACAGACAAAACAGTAGTGTTCTTTTACTATTCTGGATGATATCAAATGTTGGGACAAGGCTTTTTTTGGTATTGCTTGACTCCTGGATGTGTGTGAAATCAATGAAGAGTTACACATCCTCCTCCAAAAAGGCCTTTTTTCAAGGCTTTGTTAGTGATCTGCAGCATACAGTCCGTTGGAGACTGCCATCACTTACGGTCAAGTTGTCTTTCAACTGATGAACTGTTTGCCATCTTACATGTATCTGCTGTACTCTGAACTGATATAGCAGCTTGAGAACTCCAAACCTTACAGAAACACATAAATGTATTGCATAATACATTATATACTGGATAAATTATGAACACTCCTGAAAAATGCCACTCTCTTAACTTACTCCAGACTTCCCTCTCTCAGGAATAATTGTTTATTCTTCACATTCCAACCATGTTCTATTCTCTTAAATACTGTTTTTCCCCTTTACAAGTCTTGTGTTCAGCAACTTCTGCTCCTTAACACTTTAAGCCAAAAATTATTAAGTATTATAATGAGCTCCTCAAAATCTAGATCTTCTCTACCTAGTCAAATCATTATACATACCTTAAGTATGCTCTTCACAATTAAGCTAGGCCAGAGTCACTTCTTTTTTCCGGTGACTTTTGTTTTGGATTTAAATCTTTACTTGTACTGTCTAAGAGGGCCATCACTGTCCTCTCAAAAAACTATCTTCCATCTATTTATCATTGTCCCCACTCAATTTTTCTCCTCTGCAACAGCTTTCCTAATTACAGTCTGTTCTCTGTATCTGTGGGCTTGGCATTTGTGGATTTGAAAATATTAAGAAAAAATTCCATGTTGAATCTATGCAAATGAAATGAAGTGTAGGCATTGTATTAGATATTACAAGCACTCTAGCAATCATTTAAAGTTTATGGGAGGATGTGCATACGTTAATTACAAATACTAGGTTATTTTACATAAGAACTTGAGCATCTGCAAATTTTGGTGCCTGCATGGGTCCTGGAACAAATCCCCATAGCCACCAAGGGATGGCTGTGCTTCATTCCCCATCCCCTTCAATGACTTACTACACCCTTACCCCTTTTATATTTTCCTTCAATTTTAACATTTAATCATAATAATCATAATCACTTGATATAGTTAATTATTTTGTGTATATATATAGTGTTCCAACTCAGTTTAAAGCCTTTGAGAGGCAGAATATGTGCTAAGCATTTATCTTGCTCACGTTGAACTAGATAATAAGTATAGCATTCCAAGGAATGCTAAAACATTTTTGCATTTCTCAGCACTATTGCTTACACCAATCCAGACACAGGTGGGAAAATTTGTAAAATTAGGCTAGGCCAGAGATTTTTTAACCTTTTTTGTGTCATAAAGCCTTTTGAGAATCTAATGAAAAGTTTAATTGCTTTTCATGAGAAATTGTCAAACATTCATATCTGCAGTATTTTGCATGCACTGTCAAAGGATTCATGAATCTTTCAGAGTAACCTTCCCATGAACTTCAGCATAAAAACCTCTGAAACAGAGCATAAGTTCTTGACTTAATAATCTTCACAATTTTATCTATATTTTGTCTATTCAGATATGACAATTTTCTCTATATTTTATCTATTCAGATATGAATCATAGAACTTGCTTTGATGCAAGATTGTCTCAGATCTAGTTTTCAGAGACTTTTAAATACCACTCATGAATAATTATTTAATAACATTGATTATGAAAAACACTTCTCCTTGTAGGAACGCTACAGACTGTAGATGCCTTGGGACATTGCCCATTCATAAAAGGTTGCCTGAGGAAACTGTTTTTCAAGGTGAAGTGACAACCAGTGCCATGTGAGATTAAAGTTTAAGAATAATATGATAATTTATTGAGCATTTATAACTCTGTTAGCTGATAAGCACTTTTCCTGTATTCTTTCACTGAATCCTCCCAAACACTTGATATAATAGGCATTATTTTACTCTTTTCTTAAATAAAGAAACTCAAGGCCCAAGAAACTAAGGAACTTGACCTAAGTCACAGTGCTAGTAAACGCTGGAATTAGAATTTGAGCTCATTGAATAGTCTCTGGAGCCTCTTCCCATAATCATGATGCTATATTACCACTCTGATTTTGAATGACTCCACACTCAGAGAACATGTCTTTGGACAGAAAGTGCACTTTCCTTTACGCACCCCTTTCCTTTTGACCATCTTTTATTCTGGAACCAAATATACAGGAAATTTTGGCATAACCATTGTATCTTGAGTACCATGAAATGCAATTCTATTTGTTTAGGCAGAAGACATTTTTTCCTTAATCCAGCTCTAGCTACAATCGTTTACAGCCCTCAACTTAATCAATATTTATAGAATAGCACTGTTATTCCTATACTCAAACAGTTTTTTGCCATTGTGAAAGAAGGAAGAAGACCAGCAACTTATCTCAGGACTCTTGAAAGTTTGTCAGTGCCCTTTAGTACCAAGTATACCTTTCATTTTAAAAGCGCTTTGTAGTTTTCCTTTTCTCTTGTGCAATTCTGTGCAGGGAATTTTACTGACTCTTATTTCAAAAAGGAAAAAGGTAATGGGTAATTGAAAGGGCAAAGACTTCTGGCTCTAAATTTAGCATTCTCTGTATTTTATTCAGTATTACCATTCTTGCAGGCTTTGAAAGTTATGAGATAGTCCCAAGCTCTTGATAGAGTAAAGCAGTAGGTAAATAGCTGTCTTTAAATATATTATAAGATTTTGAGATATTCAGTGAGTTATTTCCGTGCCCAGCTTTGGTTTTAAAATTAACAGCCATTAAGTCTTCAAAAAAAATAAGTTTAGGTCATCATGATTCAATACATTTTTAGATAACCTATTCTCTAAAAGTAATCTTCCTTCTTTTCTTCTTTCCTCCCTTCCTTCCTTCCTTCTTCCTTCTTCCTTCTTCCCTCCCTCCCTCCCTTCCCTTCCCTTCCCTTCTCCCCTCCCCTCCCCTCCCCTCCGCTCCCCTTCCCTTCCCTTCTCTTCTCCTCTCTTCCCTTCTTTTTTCTCTTTTCTTTTCCTTTCCTTTCCTTTCTTTTTTCTTTTCTATCTTTCTTTCTTCTTTCTCTCTCTCTGTCTATTTTCACCACATTCAATTCCTTTCTTCTTCTTCTTTTTCTTTTGTAGTGAGAATACTTAAGGTCTACCCTATTAGCAAAATTCAAGCATACAACACAGCATGGTTGATTATAGTTACCATGCTATATATTAGATCTCCAGAACTTACTCATTTTGCTTAACTGATACTTTGTACCTTAAAACAACATCTCCCAGATTTTTCCTCCTTCTCTCCCTTGGCAACTACCATTCTACTCTCTGCTTTTATGGCATTGACTATTGTAGATTCCACATGTAAGTGAAATTATCCAGTATTTCTCTTTCTGTGTCTGGCTTTTTTCATTTAACATAATGTCCTCCACATTGATCCATGTTGTCACAAATGGCAGGATTACCTTAAACCGAATGATATTCCATTGGGTTTATATTCCACATTTTATAAAACTGACAATTTTAAATTATCAAGTAAGTAAATAAGAACATCATTGCTAGAAAGGAGGCAGAAAGCCAGGGATGTAAAATTACTCCTTTCAGGTAGAATTTCTGAATACTTGGTTTAAAATCTAGTACTAAAGTATAGTACTAGATTTAAATCTATACTTTACTACTAGATTTAACTAGTTTCATAGTACTCTGTATACATATGTGTGTGTGTTGCATATATTTTGTGTATATATAGGCCATATGTATTTTGCTTGCTATTTTAAAATATCAATTTGTACATTTTCATCCTTTCTTTCTTGACAGCTTTCTTCTTCTTTCTCTTCACAGATTAATAAAGTATGCTGTAAAAATTAGGAGATGACAAGACATTTATAGGGGCTTCCCACACATTCAGGGGGCTTTGTGAAGAGACAGTTTCAATCTGTTTTTCTGTGTTATATTCATAGATCCTGCCTGTTGCATGGAGTAATGAAGAACAGAGAACACACATAGCAGCAGATGGAGTAGAGACATCCTTAAAAGAGGGGGAAAAACCCGGTTTTTAACAATTGCAATTATTTTGCACCTCTCCCAGAGTGACTGGTTTGTCATCTCCCAGGAACAAGCAGCGACAATAGCCTTCCTCCTTGCAGAGCCTCTGTCACTCAGTTTAACCCCACAAATGACCTCACAAACAACTCATCTCATTATTCTTCTCTAATGAGAAGTACACTGATGATGATGATCATCATCATCATTTTGATGTCAGTCTAGTACTTACCTCTTCTTAGATACAAACACTAAAAGTAATAATCCTTCACAACTTATAACTTTTTTTTCAGCATTTGAGTCTCACGATCTTATTAAACTATTATCTCAGTTTTGCTAAGTACGGTGTTTCCCAAAGTATGATCTATAGAGAACCTACATCAGCAACATTTGGGATGCTCGTTAAAGTACAGATTCCTAGATCTTACATAATTAACATTTCTGAAGATGACAAACATGAATTTTAAACAAATTCCTCACATAATCTTTATTCATACTCACGATTGATAGCTACTAGAACAGTACATTCAGATCTCAATGTGCTTACATCCTCCCATGGCTTCTCCCTCAACCATGAGAATAAATTTATTATATGTAATTTGCAGCGATAAATCCACAATACACCTGGGTATGTTTTGGATTGTTAGAAGTTCTGAAGCACACTCTTTCTCATCTAGGTTTTGTTTTCTTAATTTAATTTGTTTTCCAAGTCAATATATTTTTCCTAACTAAATTTCTTGAACTTTAGCCATGTGCTAGAAAGTTTTTTGAAATAAATTGTATTCTCCATTCTGGCAAACAATGGCACTGTATTTCTGTGTTTCTGGAAGAAGACAGAAAATTATTTGAGGGACTATTTTCTCTATTCTCTTATCTTAGATGCATAAAAGTGAGGTTACTTTATTATGTATGATGAATGCCTTAAGGCAGCGGTTTTCAAACTTTTTGGTTTCAGAACCTTTTTATACTTTTAAAAATTAGTGAGGATTCAAAGAGCTTTAGCTTACATGGCTTACAGCCATCAATATTTACCCTATTAGAGCTTAAAATAATTCTATTACCTATTTCCATATTGTAAAACTCATTAAAATTTATGTTATTCTCAGAACAGATCAGAAAGACCGATGTCATATGTGTGCACATATATATTATATATATTTATATATATAATTGTTTCTTAGCTGCTGATAAATTTGTGATCTAAAAATTGTGTCATGTTCATCTTTGCAATTCTTATAAAATATGCACTCAATGAATATTTGCTAAGCTGAATTGAAACAGCTGAAATAACAGTAAACTGGTTGAAAAAGAAATTACTTCCTCTAAAAATTGTAGTTGCCTACACTTCCTGCTTAAATTTAAAAAAATACATCTAGTGGCATACTATTGGAGAGAAGATTTTAAACATCATTCAGATCACAGGCTAATACATTATCTTCTGTTGACAGCACTGAAGACTTGCTCTAAAGAGTCTTCAAATGCTCAACAGCAAAGAGATAGATTATGTATAAAGCAGAATCTTCCTTTATGATCTTTGACATTTTTGAAAAATTAATGACAAGTATACTATCAATGTGTAACTTTCAACTATCAATTTGCTATCAACGTGCAATTTTATCCTCCTTAAGCCCGTATGCCAATGAAGATGAATATCAGTTCTAAATGTGCAGCAGATAGATGGGTATAATTAGAAAAGTTCTGAACTGGAACATTTAGATTTGAGTTTCAGCACCAATACTATCTGGCTGTGTGATATTTTAGAGTCAGCAACCCTGAACTTTAAATTTTTATCTTTCCAATTAAGAGGTTGAATTATTATAATTCTGAAACAAGGTTGTGGTAAAATGTCAAAAACTGGAGACTATCTCTAGCAGGTTATTTTAATTTTAGGAATTATCAAAAAGTCTCAAGAGGACACCCTAAATACTCTCCTCACATTCCTATGATACTATTTCCCTGAATACAGTTAGAACTTTTATTGGGTTAAAATGATAAGCCCTTTACTTTTAGCTGTATAGCAAAATATTTTTACATGCACAATTTTTGGAGGCAACAGCAGGAAATTTATAAACATTTCTCTTTGTTGAACAGTTTTTACCCTCTAGATCAGGAGAAAAGGCAAATATTGTCCAGATTGTATTTTAAACATGTTCATTCTTAACTAAATTTGATAGTGTGGGCATTTGGGAAAGTTCTTTCCAGTATCTCAGTTCTCAAAGGACAAAAATTCTGCCCATGTTCTTTAGAAATAAAACTTTGCAAAGATAGTTTTATTTTTACTTACCAATATGTTATTTTTCACATGGTATTAACCCATTGACAGACAATTTACATAGTAAAATAATTTACACGAAAATATAATGTTTTCTAATTTTAAATGCATAAAAATCACAGGTAACTGTTCAGAAAAGGATTATTATAATTGTCACTTGCACACCCCAACCTTCATATCTTCTTGAGTTAATGTATACCATAACTTGACTGTAAGATTTTTTACCAAAGAGGCCAAACCTATTTGTCGCTAGATAATCTATACAACTCTTCAACATTATTATGACGTAGTATGTGTTCAATAAATATCTATGTGGTAATGATAGTAGAAAAAATGAAATTAATGAGAGATTAGAAAACAAAAAGTCACTATCCAAAATATGTTAGAGTTAAAAAGAAAGTCTATAAAATTTAATAAAGCTAATGATAGAAATTAACAACAAAACTTTAATATTTTTCTTATCTTCATGAATTGCCAAAAAGTACTTTTAGGTGGAAATAACTTTCTGTGCATTTGAGATTTATACAGATTCTATTTCTGTTTCTTTGTTTCTGTCACCACATGAATTATTCACAATATTTCCCAGAATGTCTATTGTCCCACATTGTCTATTGTTTCTGTCTTTATGTTCACATGTACCCAATGTTTAGCTGCCACTTATAAGTGAAAACATGCAGTATTTGGTTTTGTTTCTGTATTAATTTGCCTTAGATAATGGCCTCTAGCTGCACCCATGTTGCTGCAAGGGACATTATTTCATTCTTTTTTTATGTCTGCATAGAATTTTATAGCACGTATGTAACACCATTGATAGACACCTGGGTTGATTCCATGTCTTTGCTATTATGATGAGTGCTGCACTAAACATATGAGTGCAGGTGTCTTTTTGGTAGAACAGTTTATTTTCCTTTAGGTATATACCCAGTAATCCCACATATACAGAATATATACCCAGTAATGGGATTGCTGGCTGGAATGGTAATTCTATTTTTAGTTCTTTGAGAAATCTTAATCTGCTTTCCATAGTGGCTGAACTAATTTGCATTCCCACCAACAATGTATACACTTTTCCTTTTCTCTGCAACCTCACCAACATCTGTTATTTTTAGACTTTTTAAATAAAGATCATTTTGACTGGTGTGAGATGGTTTCTCATCGTAGTTTTGATTTGCATTTCTAGAATGATTAGTAATGTTGAGCATTTTTTCATATACTTGTTGGCTGCTTGTATGTCTTTTTTTGAGAAGTGCCTGTTCATGTTCTTTGTCAATACAAAGACTGTAAAAAAATATCTCTGGGAAGGGTGATACAGCCAACAATTTCCCAACAATTTCTTAGGGACCTAGCAGATGTGGGACTGGAACCCTGAAGCTCCCAGGTAACTGGTTGAGACAAGGCAGATGAGAGAGCCTCTGAAAAGGAGAAGGATTTTTTTTAAGAGATGAGAGAGAGAGAGGATATAAAGTAAACTTTATTAATTTAATTGTTTTACCTACAACTATATCTGATTAGGCATTTGGAAATTTGGACGTTTCTAGAGAATTAAGTCAGCACCAAGGGTCCCGCATCTTTGGGCATTAAATCATACTGTCAGTTCTCATACAATTTCCATGGTTAGTTTCCGTTAGCTATTAAATTTAGAAAATAATATCACTGCTGGGTGCAATGGCTCATGCCTGTAATCCCTACAGTTTGGAAGGCTGAGGTGGTTGTATTGCTTGAGCTCAGGAGTTCAAGACCAGCCTGGGCACCATGGCAAGACCACATCTCTAGAAAAAATACAAAAATTAGCCAGGCGTGGTGGTGCATACCTGTAGTCCCAGGTACTTGGGAGGCTGAGGTGGGAGGATGACTTCAGCCTGGGAGGTGGAGTTTGCAGTGAGCCGAGATAGTGCTACTGGACTCCAGCCTGGGTGACACAGTGAGACCCTGCCTGGAAAAAAAAAAAAAAAGAAGAAGAAGAAAACTACTTATATAATTACTTGATACACAATAATATACATTCAAACATTTACTACAAACATTTAAGAAAGAGCTGCTATTAAAATAGTTATCTAAAAAGAATTATCCTGATACTAAAGCAAAACAAGACACATCAGGAAAACAAAACTACAGAGCAATAGATCTATAAATATTGATGCAAAAATGTGCACAAAATACTGACAAACTAAATTCAGCAGTACAGCCAAAGGATTACACAACATGATCAAGTGGGATTCATTCCTGGACGGCAACAATAGTTCAACATACTAAAACTAATCAGTATAATATGAAACATAAATAAAATGAAGACAAAAGTAAGTATTGTTATTCATTTAAAAAGCATTTGACAAAATTTAATTCCCTTTTATTAAAAAATTTAAAAATCTAGGAATAGAAGGAAACTACTTCAGCATAACAAAGGCTATACATGAAAAGCTTATAGTTAACATCATACTGAGTGATGAGAGACTGAAAGCTTTTTTGCTAACATCAGGAACAAAGCAAAGATGCCCACACTTGCCACTTCTATTCAACATAGTATTGGAAGACCTAATCAGAGAAGTTAGGCAAGAAAAATAAATAAAAAGCATCTAAATTGGAAAGGAAGAATAAAATTATCTCATAAGATGACATGGTCTTACATGTGGAGCACCCTAAAAATAGAACACACACATAATAAAATCTGATAGAACTAACAAATAAATTCAGTAAACTTTCAAAACACGAAATGAACATGCAAAAAAACAATTAAATTTATATACACCAAAAATGAACAATACCAAAAGGAAATTAAGAAAACAATTCCATTTAAATGGTATCAAAAAGAATACTCAGGAATAAACTTAGCCAAGAAGACAAAAGACTGTACACTGAAAACTACAAAAAGATTCTGAAAAAAATTAAAGAAGATGCACATAAGTGGAAAGATATCCACAGGAAACTTCTCCAGGCAGCCTTGAACCAACCCAGTTCTTCCACTATTCTCACTTGTAGTTCTCAAGAATAACTGTAGAATGTACTGGGAATGCAACACACGAATATAGGAGGAAGTGACTGGAAGGCTCTGTTCCAGTCTCCTCTAGACACAGGATGTCCTTCAATGTTTTAGCCTCACAAATTCTATTACCCTTAGAGTGTAAAACCAAAGATGAACTACTCTCCTGGGCCTCTCAGCTGCGGTACAAATGGATTATGTTCTGACAAGATTCCATCTTCCCCCAGGCAGCTTTCCTGAGCCTTGGAGCCTGGGTTGTAATGACTCCCAGGTTTCCGTTGTCCCTTCCTGCCTATTTGTAAGTAATAATAAGCCTGCCTCGTGTAACTTGTTATGTGTATGGGTGTTCTGTCTCACTGGACTCAGACAAGTTGGTAACAAGTGCATAGTGAATTTGCTTCACAATATCAGTATTTATGGATTGGCCAACAATATTTCTGAGATGTCAGTAATACTCAAAGTGATCTATAGATTCAGCGCAATCCCTATCAAAATCTCAATGATGTTTGTGGCAGAAATAGAAAAATTCATCCTAAAATTCATGTAAAATCTCAAGGGACTCTGAATAGTCAAAACAGCCTTCAAAAAGAACAAAGTTGAAGGCATCTCATTTCCTGATTTCAAAACTTACAAAGCTACAATAATCAAAACAACGTGGTACTGGCATCATGACGGACATATAGACCAAAGGAAAAGAATAGAGTTCAGGAATAAGCTCTCACACAGATGAGCAAATGATTTCCAACAAGGGTGCCAAGACCATTTAATGGGATAAGGACAATCTTTCAACAAATGATATTGGGAAAACTGGATACTCATATATGAAATAATGAAGTTGAACCCTTACCCCTGCATAAAATTAAAATGTAACACCATATAAAACAAACTAAATATAAGAGCTAGAATGCTATAAAACTTCAAAGAAAACACGGGAAAAGTTTCATGACATTAGATTTGGCTATAATATATATACATTTTTGGATTACACCAAAAGCACAGGCAGCAACGACAAAAAATAGATAAATTGTATTTCATAAAAATTTTTGTCCATCAAAGAACACTATCAACAGATTTTTTTCCCATGGAATGAGAAAAAATATTTACAACTCATCTCTGATAAAGAATTAATATCTAGAATACATAAAGAACTCTTACAAATCTACAACAAAATCCCAAACAACCCAGTTGAAAAATACACGGGATTTTAGACATTTCTCCAGAGAAGACATACAGATGGCCCATAAGCACATGAAAGATGCTCAACAACACTAATGATTAAGTAAATGCAAATCACAACAACAATGAGATACCACCTCATACCATTTAAGGTAGCTATTATCAAAGCAAAATGAAACAAACAAAAACCCAGAAAATACCAAGTGTGGGTAAGGAAGTGGGAAAATTAGAACACTTACACATTACTGGAGGGAATGTAAAATGGTGTCGCCACTTTGGAAAATAAAAAATTAAAAATGGAATGTTGGTATGTTTAATATGATAGTTCTTCAAAAATTAAACATGAAATTGTAACACGATCCAGCAATCTCACTGTGGGTATATATTCAAAAGAAATAAAAGCAGGAATTAGAACATATATTCGCAAACAAATGTTCCTAGCCGCACTATTTACAAAGTCAAAAAGTGGAAACAACCCAAATATCTATTGATGCCTGAGTGGATAAGCAGATGTGGTATTACATACAATGGAATATTATGTAACTTTAAGAATGAATGACATCCTGACACACTACAACGTGGATGAACTTGGAGGACATTATGCTGAATGAAATAAGCCAGCGCAAAAGGACAATTTTGTATGTATATTATTGCATTTAGATGTGGTATCTGGAGTAGTCAAATCATACAGACAGAAAATGGGTGGTGGCCAGGAGTTGGAGGGAAGGAGGAATGAGGAGTTATTGTTTAATGACTATAGTGTTTCAGTTTGGGGAGTCGAAAAAGTTCTGGAAATGGTTGATGGTGGTGGCTGCATGACAATGCAAATGTACTTGATGCTACTGAACTATACATCTACCAATGATTAAAATGGCAAATTTCATGTTCTATATAATTTACCACAACTTTAAACTCCCCTCCCCTGACAGCAATTTGCTCCATATACCTTCAAAATAGCTGGAGGTATCTTCTGATCACAAGCAGAGGTTAAAATACTCACATAACTCAGCATTTTGTCAATAATTAATTTAGCACATTTTTCTCATAATATTACTGTCTCAGGCTGCAAAATAAATCACCCCCTATCACCTTCTGGACATAGTCTTTGTTAATGACAGCTCTGTTTCTATCACCTGTCAGAGCTTCCATTAATGGCTCCTTTATTTCAAAAGCCCAGATAATCCCATGGAAGCAGGCTGCTGGTGTCACTCCATTCCTTCAGTTTAGAATTTTTTTCTGAAGAAAATAAAAATTTTCAACAAACCACTGTCTCACATTAGGAAAAACTGTCACCAGCAGTGGAGCAAGGGATTGTGAAACTTAAAAAAAAAAAAAAAAGTTTTGCAATCTGAATTCTGCATCAAGATGGCTTTCATAATTAAAAAAAATTCCTGTGGCATTCTAAATTTGATAGTTTTAAGAATCCTGTTGGAATGGTTTTTTATCATTCATCACTCATGTGTGTCATATCATTATGACAACTCATTTAAGAACATGTTTCCATTCCAATAAAAAGAACTGCCTAGTATTGGCTATTTTCTCACTGTGTTTAAGTTTTTATCTTTCTTTAAGTTATTTCCTCCCTTTTGGGAGGAATCCAGCATGTAAACAGAACCAAAGACAAAGAACCACAAGGAAAAAGAAAGCTTCCTTCGCTCCCTCCATCTGTTTTTACTGCCTGCCTGCAATTGTCTTCCTTTAAAAAATAAGATAGGCATAGTTTGCACAGCAAAAGATTACATTTAACTAAATAAAGTGTTTTGGGACATTATGATATTAGAGTTTTTAAAGTGGAGTGGATTATCATTTTTAAAAGTCACATTTTTTCTATATAATTACTGTACTATGCATTTTACTCTACAAATACTATATCAAAACATTCAATGAACTGTTAAGAGAGAAATTATCTTGCTAAGCTCTGAAAATATGAAATGTAGCTTCTTTTAAAATGACATTTAATTTTGTTTTAAAGATGGTACATGACCCATACAAGTGTATTTGTTATTTAAAAAAGTAATAGAAATTATAATGAACTCTTTAAAATGTATCAGCCTCTCTGTAAATATTTTTGGTTTTTTTAAAATTGTACTTTAAGTTCTGGGATACATGTGCAGAATGTGCCATTTTGTTACATAGGTATACACATGCCATGGTGGTTTGCTGCACCCATCAACCTGTCATCTACATTGGGTATTTCTCCTAATGCTATCCCTCCCCTAGCTCCCCAGCACCCGACAGGCCCTGGTGTGTGATGTTCCCCTCCCTGTGTCCATGTGTTCTTATTGTTCAACTCCCACTTATGAGCGAGAACATGCAGTGTTTGGTTTTCTGATGTTGACAAATAGGAATTCTTTTACACTCTTGGTGGGAGTGTAAATTAGTTCAACCATTGTGGAAGACAGTGTGGCAATTTCTCAAGGATCTAGAACCAGAAATACCATTTGACCCAGCAATCCCATTACTAGGTAATACCCAAAGGAGTATTAATCATTCTACTCTAAAGACACATACACAAGTAAGTTTATGGTGGCACTGTTCACAATAGCGAAGACTTGGAACCAACCCAAATGCCCATCAATGATAGACTGAATAAAGAAAATGTGGCACATAGACACCATGGAATACTATTCAGCCATAAAAAATGATGAGTTTATGTCCTTTGCAGGGACATGGATGAAGCTGGAAACTATCATTCTCAGCAAAATATTTTTGGCTTTTTTGGCCTTAAAAACATTATTTTCTCTTTTTCTCCAAGGTTCTTTGTTTAGTTGAGAGACTTGTGTTTGGCCATAAGATTGGCTATAAAATTTTAATTTTAATGTGTACTCCAAAGGAGTATTTTACTATTTATACATTTGAATAGTCAGTTAATGACTTAAATTTTACCCATTGAAAATAAATGTGCCTTTTAATAAATTACCTTCCTAGGAGAGAAAATGAAATAGTGCTTAAAATTAAATATACAATTTGAAGAAAATAGATTTTATATTAATCTCCAAACCTCCATGTGTTACGACCAGGATTATTTAAATAATAAATTTAGGAAGTTTTCAACTAATATCATCCTTTGTTTGATTCTGGTATTAGTGTCCATCATTTATAAGAATGCTATTCATGTTACCTTTATGAATGAAGCAAAAATTCCTTGAGCTCCTCTGGAAAGTTAGCATGAGTTGGCTGTTTTCTGTTTCTGCAACTGTGTATATATAGCATATGGGATTCTTTATTTGAAACTGCTTTTAAAATAAAAATAAAATTAAAATTAACATTGAATTCTTTCCAAAATACTTACTAGGATTTTTTAAAACCACAGTTGATTACATTGGCTCAATTGTAATTGCATCTTTTTTTATTCCAGTGTACAAGAACTTTCTGTTCTCCCGCTGTTTACAATAGTAATGCCATAGGAGCAAAGATTGCAGGTACATCGTGCCTGTTTCTGTTGTCATCACCTATTTGGCTAGGGAATAGGGAGAAATAGTTGATGGTTCTGAAACCTCTCCTGCGACCATGTGAGGTAAAAAGGTATGGCTATGCACATCCTGGGACTAGAAAGAGTTTTATCTTTTCCTAACCTCTTCTATCTCAGGTTGCTATTGGAAATTTTTTTCTTAGAGTATAAACATGGGGCAGACTAATGTGGTAACATACAGAATTGTCTGGGAGACACTTTATTTTAAGAACACTCAAGTAATAGACAACCATTCTGCCCCTTGCTGGACCATCCTGAAGAAAAAAAAATGTCCAAGTAAAAAATCTCCTGCCCTACAAGTGTTAACTTTCCTCTTTTCTTTTCTGAAATCTCTGAGGATGGTGTGAGAATGCTTTCTGATGGGGCTGGTTAGCTGTGAGTTTTAGAATGATACTCAGATGAAGCTAAATTCTATGAGTTCTTGTTACCTTTGACTCTTCCTGTGACACAGGATACATATTCAACACAGTCATCTTATATATGTGTGTTATAGCATTTACACAGGAAGATTATCAGAAAAATTATTCAAAATTTATGTCCCATATGAGGAAGGTGAGTGTGACATTTTTGAACACATATGAATACACAGTCGAAATCCACCGGAGAAAAGCAAATGTCGGTTCGTTTTGTTACTAACCCTTCTTGTCATTTCATGTAAGTAATTTCTCTAATTTGTGCCTCAGTTTTCTCTCCTGACAAATCATGATAATTATATAAGGAGGTAAGCCTTCTTAAGTTAAAACTCTTAAGATATCAATTTGGGAATTTACTGGTTTTGAAAAACTTGGACAAGTTAGAAAACTTTTCAGAGTTTTATAATTTTTTAAGCTGAGAATACTTACATTAATAAAAATAGAAAAATGTGGGAGATGTTCCACTGTTGTGATTGTCACAAAATAAGTTGTCAGTGGATGGTAATTTTCATTATTTTTCCTAGTATGCATTTTTAGTGGTCTCAAGAAAACACATGAGACTATAATATATATTAATCTACTTGGAGAACCAGAATTAATATTGGACTGATGTATCAAAAATGAAAACTGAGAAGTATTTAAATTAATTCATTTATATATGATGTCATGACTACTCCTACTGAAAACAAACAACTAAACCCAAAATTGGTCAGCATAACATTTTTAGCTGTATTAATGTTGAAACAATACAAACAAGAAAACCAAATCATGTGAAAAGGTGAATTAGCTCAGTAACTGAGTGCATATTAGTATGGCTTCATTGTATAGATTCTAAAAATACTAATCATTAGCTGATCACCACCATTTTGAGTGTAAAGATACCTCCTTAATGTTAAAAATATTCACCGACCTATATACAATATGGTAGTTTTAGGATTTATTGATTGAGAAAATACAGAGTAACAAAAAACAAATGAGGGTTCAATTTCAGTTTTCAGTGAGTTTGCATTTTAATTATTCTGTCATAGGAGTATATGCACAAGTTGTATATCCAAGTCTGCCTTCAGTGAAACTGGGGCTCATTGTTGAACATATCTAAATTCTACAATTTAGAGGCAAAATGGGGTGAGAACTGTTTTTGTTATTTTTTGTACAAATGTAAACCTATTTTTTTCCATAGTGCATACAAAGTCATGGAGGGAGATTTGAGATTTAGAATGCAATAAATTATCATTCGTTTCTTCATTAATTCCTTCAAAAACTTCTCCAGTGAGCCTGTGTTATGAGCCAAGGGGGTGGGGATACAACAGTGAATTAAGACAAAGATGCTATCCTCATGCTATTGCCACTTACAGTTTTGTGGGCAAGAAACACAACAAACAAACATTTTATAATATAATTTTGCAAAAATAGTGACAGAAGGGTAAGGGGCAAGAGAGTGAGAGGGGTGTGTGAGTGTGTGTGTGTGTATGTGTGTTTATGTATGTGCCTGTGAGAGAGAGAATGTAACAAGGAAAGTCTGAGGAGATAATTAACATTTGAGGAGGCTAACATTTACATATTTGGGGAAAGGTATTTCTGGCAGTGGAAATAACATGTCCTAAAACAGTAAAGAAATTGTCATGTTAGAGCAACATAAAGAGGACAAACTAGGCTACAGGAGGGTAACCAAGGAAGGGTGATAGGAAGTGAGGTCAGAGATTTAGGTGGGGTTTCATCATCGAGGGCCTTGCAGGGCATGACTGCTATCAGACAAGTTTGCCTCAGAGGTAAAAGCAGTTATGACAACTCTTGAAAAATAAGATTTTTCCTGCCTAATCTTTTCCCACAAGTTTGCAAAAATTAATACAGCTTTCTAACTTCTGAATTCACATTTATATCTAGGAAACTAAGTGTTATTCTTTTTTTCACGTGCAGTTAGAGAAATGATCTCTTCCTGTTTTTGACTGCCCCTCAGAACTTTTTATTAATAATTCTGTATTAGTAGTGGGCAGGGGAAATAGCTTCCTATTTTATAAAACTCAGACTTCTGGGGCACTTGAAACCGGAGTTTATCTTTAATTTACTTTTGGTTCCGGTTTCTAGAACCTCAAATTTCTTGTTAGTATGGGGTCTTTTCTTCCACAATCAGAGAAAAAATTAATTAAATGTGGGTATTGAGTCATCGTTGTTTATGAAGAATGGAATTATATCTGGGTGAGATGGAAGGGTAGATGTTTAGATTATGACTTTTGTGTAGTTTGAATTTTTACAAAAAACCTGAATTCTTTTCCATTTAGAAAAAGAGAAACTTGTAGTTCCTTATCATTTCAACATTTTTCCTTCTCCTCTCTATAGGCTCACTTTATCTACTTCTGTGATTTTAATGTAAAAACCTAAATTTCCTGTTCTGCCATTTCTTTTGAGGCCCAGAGTCTTTTGTCTAATTAACTACTGAATATTCTGCAGACAGTTAAAACCCAGGGTATCTAAAATCAGTCACCAATTTTCTGTCCCAGACCTGCTTCTGCTCCATATTCCCAGTCATAGCTGATGGCATCCCATTCCACCTGTTCTCCCAAGTTAGAATTCTGAATCATCTTTGCTCTTTTTTCTTTCTCCCTCATCCTCAGGTCACAGTACATTGTTCTACTGTAAGGTTATTTCCCAAATAGCACCTTGTCTCCTTTCCCATTTACTACTGCCTCTTACCTAAACTTGTGCAATAGCCTCCTGTTAGTTTCTTCAAATCTGTTCATCTCCCATTCTTCTTAATGGTGTGCTTATAAAAATACAGTATGTAAATGACTTTCACTTGTTCCCAATGGTCTATAAGATATTCAAAAATTACTCAGCATGCCATGCAAGTCTATTTACAGTCTTTTAAGTTTGATATCTGGCCTCATAATCTAGGGTCTGGCTGCAACAAAATACTTGTCATTCTTCAAATATTTGCTCAGGCTTTTCCCTCCTATGGTAATGTTACCTTCACTCTCTAAGACACACATAGATCTTTCATTTCCTGGTAAATAAGCTGCCTCACACCGTTCAATATTAAATGTGGTTTTCTTTGTGAGTTCTTGCTGTTCTCATGGTTGCCCCTTTCTATATTTCTAAGAATTCTCTCTTCTCTGTCCCTTTCCCTATCTCACATTTTGTTATTATTAGCTGAAAATATGTCCATCTCTTTTATAATACAGGAACAGTCTAAGAGCAGGAGCTATTAATATGTCTATCTCATTTATCTTCATGTCTACAGAACACACCACAGTGTCTGTCTTATAGTATGGGTTCAATTAATGTTTAGTGACATTAAAAAAGGAGGAGGAAAAGAAGAAGAAAAATGCAAATAAACCCGGGAGAGAACACAGTGTCTAAAATGTTACTGTGAGTATTTTTGGATCCTTTATTGAGAATATTAGGTTACATAGTAAAGAAATGTTGTGTTTGGTCTCTTACAACACAAAAGCCCTAGTAGTCAAATACCAGAGAGAAAGGTTTTTATACACAGTTGAAAAAAGGGCACAGAGAATATTGGTTTGAAAAGTTGTATGTAAACAGCTCCTTCTTCATCATATTGCCCAGTGATGATTATTACTTCAAAGGTTGGTCTGGATAATATTGCTTGAAATCAGTTGTGTTCACCTTAGCACATGATCAGAACAGCCTGTGATTATTACGTTAATTCTGAAACCCAAACCCCTCTGTTTAAGTGTGAAGAAACTGAGACACAGAGGAGTTGTGAGGCATGTCTGCTTTTATTATTATGGATATAATTTGATTCTGTGCAAAGCCTAGAGACTTCCAACCCCCATCATCTTTTATAGCTCCTTTTAGAGAAGATTGTAAATTCTTAAACCCCTAACATAGGACATACACCAATAAATTTAACACAATTGGTTTCATGGGTTAAATTTCCCTCAATTGGGATACTAAGTTGTACAACTAACTTGAACTAAATCAAGATCTGCAATCTTTTATGAATGCTCCATGTGTCCTATTCTTTAATTTTTTTATGAATGCTCCATGTGTCCTATTCTTTAATTTTTTTTGAATGCTCCATGTGTCCTATTCTTTAATTTTCCTCTAGTCCTCTCCATCATGAAATAACAATTCCTTAGTTCTAGTTGTTTGGTTCAAAACTCTTAAATGTAACCTTGATTTTTCTTTTTTGTCTTACATTCTACGTCAGATCCATCTGCAAATCCTGATAAGCATCCATTCAAGACATATTCAGAATCTCACACTTTCTAGTTACTGCACAGCAACTACTTTCTCCTAGGTACTTTCATCTCTTGTCTATAATATTTACCATATTTTCTTGTCTCCTTACTTCGGCTCTTGCCTGAACATAGCCCAATCTTATAGTACTAGAATAATCCTATGAAAACATCAATTGTATTATGTCATTTCTCTGTTTAAACCCTCCAATGGCTTCCATTTCACTGTGAAACCAAGCCAAAGTCCTTACGGATGGCCCTCAATGTTTTACATGATTTGCCTTCCTCCCTCTAGTTCTCTAATCTCCCACTATTTTCCACCTTACTTACTGTATTCTGGCCACACCAGCCTCCTTGCTTCTTTGAATTGTGGGCACTCGTCTATCTGAGTATTTTAGCCCTTGCTGTTCTTTCCCTGGAGCATTCCTCCAAGGAATTCCACATGGTTCATTGCTTTATCCCCCTTCAGACTTTTCTTCAAATGTTATCTTTGCAGTGAGGACTTCCCAGGATATCCTGATACTGTAACTTCCTCTCAGACCACAGGTATCCCCTATCTCCCTTACCTGTTCAATTTTTCTCCTTGGGGCTTATTACCATGAATCACATATTTTCCTAATTTATCCTCTTAATTGTCTATCTCCCTCAAACTCCAAAGATGAGAACCACAAGGACAAGGATTTATGTATGTTTTGTTCACTTATAAATTCTTAACATTGGTAACAGTGTTTAACACGTAGCAAATACTAAAAAAGTGGCTGAGGGAAATAATGAAGGGTTCAAAGCAAAATACATAAAAAACTGCAACAAAAACTTTTTGTGTGTCAAAACCTTTCAAAAAATCAATGAATCCAGGAGTTGGTCTTTTGAAAAGATCAACAAAATAGGCCTCTAGCAGGACTAATAAAGAAAAGAGAGAAGAATCAAATAGATGCGGTAAAAAATCATAAAGGGGATATCACCACCGATCCCACAGAAATACAAACTACCATCAGAGAATACTATAAACACTTCTATGCAAATAAACTAGAAAATATAGAAGAAATGGATAAATTCCTGGACACATACACCCTCCCAAGACTAAACAAGGAAGAAGTTGAATCTCTGAATAGACCAATAACAGGCTCTGAAATTGAGGCAATAATTAATAGACTACCAACCAAGAAAAGTCCAGGACCAGATGGATTCAAGGCCAAATTCTACCAGAGGTACAAAGAGGAGCTGGTACCATTCCTTTTGAAACTATTTCAATCAATAGAAAAAGAGAGAATCCTCCCTAACTCATTTTATGAGGCTAGCATCATCCTGATACCAAAGCCTGGTAGAGATACACCAAAAAAGAGAATTTTAGGCCAATATCCCTGATGAACATCGATACCAAAATCCTAAAAAAAATACTGGCAAACCGAATCCAGCAGCACATTAAAAAGCTTATCCACCAAGATCAAATTGGCTTCATCCCTGGGATGCAAGGCAGGTTCAACATACTCAAATCAATAAACGTAATCCAGCATGTAAACAGAACCAAAGACAAAAACCACATGATTATCTCAATAGATGCAGAAAAGGCCTTCGACAAAATTCAACAGCTTTTCATGCTAAAAACTCTCAATAAACTAGATATTGATGGGACATATCTCAAAATAATAAGAGCTATTTGTGACAAACCCACAGCCAATATCATACTGAATGGGCAAAAACTGGAAGCATTCCCTTTGAAAACCAGCACAACACAAGTATGCCCTCTCTCACCACCTGTATTCAACATAGTGTTGGAAGTTCTGGCTACGGCAATCAGGCAAGATAATGAAATAAAGGGTATCCAATTAGTAAAAGAGGAAGTCGAATTGTCCCTGTTTGCAGATGGCATGATTGTATATTTAGAAAACCCCATTGTCTCAGCCTAAAATCTCCTTAAGCTGATAAGCAACTTCAGCAAAGTCTCAGGACACAAAATCAATGTGCAAAAATCAAAAACATTCCTATACATCAATAACAGACAAACAGAGAGCCAAATCATGAGTGAAATCTCTTTCACAGTTACTACAAAGAGAATAAAATACCTAGGAATCCAACTTACAAGGGACGTGAAGGACCTCTTCAAGAACTACAAACCACTGTTTGATGAAATAAAAGAGGACACAAACAAATGGAAGAACATTCCATGCTCATGGATAGGAAGACTCAATATTGTGAAAATAGCCATACTGCCCAAAGTAATTTATAGATTCAAGGCTATCCCTATCAAGCTACCACTGACTTTCTTTACAGAATTGGAAAAAACTACTTTAAAGTTCATACGGAACCAAAAAAGAGCCCACATAGACAAGACAGTCCTAAGCCAAAAGAACAAAGCTGAAGGCATCATGCTATGTGACTTTAAACTATACTACAAGGCTACAGTAACCAAAACAGCATGGTACTGGTACCAAAACAAATATATAGAACCATGGAACAGAACAGAGCCCTCAGAAATAACACCACACACCTACAACCATCTGGGCTTTGAGAAACCTGAGAAAAACAAGCACTGGGGAAAGGATTCTCTATTTAATAAATGGTGTTGGGAAAACTGGCTAGCTATATGTAGGAAGCTAAAACTGGATCCCTTTCTTACACCTTATACAAAAATTAACTCAAGATGGATTAAAGACTTAAATGTAAGACCTAACACCATAAAAACCCAAGAAGAAAACTTAAACAATACCATTCAGGACATAGGCATGGGCAAAGACGTCATAACTAAAACACCAAAAGCAATGGCAACAAAAGCCAAAATAGACAAATGGGATCTAATTAAACTAAAGAGCTTCTGCACAGCAAAAGAAACTATCATCAGAATGAACAGGCTACCTACAGAATGGGAGAAAATTTTTGCAATCTACCCATCTGACAAAGGGCTAATATCCAGAATCTACAAAGAATTCAAACAAATTTACAAGAAACAAACAACCCCATCAAAAAGTGGGAAAAGTATATGAACAGACACTTTTCAAAAGAAGATATTTATGCAGCCAACAGACATATGCAAAAATGCTCATCAATACTGGTCATCAGAGAAATGTAAATCAAAACCACAATGAGATACCATCTCACACGAGTTAGAATGGTGATCATTAAAAAGTCAGGAAACAACAGATGCTGGAGAGGATGTGGAGAAATAGGAACACTTTTACACTGTTGGTGGGACTGTAAACTAGTTCAACCGTTGTGGAAGATGGTGTGGCGATTCCTCAAGGATCTAGAACTAGAAATGTCATTAGACCCAGCAATCCCATTACTGGGTATATACCCAAAGGATTATAAATCGTTCTACGATAAAAACACATGCACATGTATGTTTATTGTGGCACTGTTCACAGTAGCAAAGACTTGGAACCAACCCAAATGTCCATCACTGATAGACTGGATTAATAAAATGTGGCACATATACACCATGGAATACTATGCAGCCATATAAAAGGATGAGTTCATGTCCTTTGCAGGGACATGGATGAAGCTTGAAATCATCATTCTCAGAAAACTCTCACAAGGACAGAAAACCAAACACCGCATGTTCTCACTCATAGGTGGGAGTTGAACAATGGGAACACATGGATACAGGGAGGGGAACATCCCACACCAGGGCCAGTCAGAGGGTGCGGGTCTGGTGGAGGGATAGCATTAGGAGAAATACCTAATGTAAATGATGAGTTGATGGGTGCAGCAAATCAACATGACACACGTATACCTATGTAACAAACCTGCATGTTGTGCACATGTACTCTAGAACTTAAAGTATAATAAAAGAAAAAAAAAACTTTTTGTGTGTGTTGGCTTTGCTTGCATATACAACTTCTGTTGAAAACACCCTACCTTGGATCACCAAAGTGTCCCCTTAACGACTTGAAATCATTAGGTGTTATATTAAATATAGGCCGACATCTTAGAACATAATAATAATGTAAGAGTGAATATGTTTAAAATGTAATGCAATTACTAAAAATATAATTTTAAAAAATGGAAGGGTCACATGTTCATGGATGGCCTAGTTTATTAATGCTAGACCATTATTTGTAAGAGCTGTGACTACATGTAATAATTAGTCTCATAGAAGAAAGAAGCCCATTGCTTCTTGGCTCCCATGGCGCCATGGTTGTGTTTTCTAGGAAGTCTGAGGCAGCAGGATACTGAACCCCATGCCTGTCCTGTTAGATCAGTTAACATGGATCGGTGACCTTTCTTTTTGTCCTTTAACTAGACAGGGACACCTCAGTTTCTCAGAATCAGTAGAATGTTGAACATACTCACTAACCCATCTGGTTCTCTGCCATCAGTCTTGTGCCCTGTCTAAAGTGTTGAAAGGCTATATTGCTTCACCCTTGAGTTAAAGATCTTATTTTTTTTGAAGTCTGGCCTAGGGAGGCTGGGAGATGACATTAAATCTGTTTTATTCATTCCATGCTGCTGTGTAAAAATCCACTCACTGAAAAGATAAATATCTTGCTCTTTGTTTCATGTTTAAAATTACAGGTTTTTAAATAAGATTATAACATAATGTTCAGGTAAATCTAATATATGGAGGAAGACAGAATCAACAGGACCACAGAGAAGATAATCTGGTGACTTGATGATATTGAAAAGTTTTGGCTCCAACAGTGTGCCCACTTTGGGACTTTTTAGTCGTACGAAGTCAGAAAAAGCTCCTGGTTTGTTTAAGTCATTTGGAATTAAGTTTTCTGATTTTTATAACAAGAGAGCATTAATATATCTATGTAGTTAATTGGGAGCTTACATAAAAGATGATATTTTGAAATTGTACACTCTGATGAGTAAGATTAAAATTCACATTTATAGACTATCTATTACAGATCTTGGATTTGGCATGCATGTATTAAAAGCAAGTTATGTTCTAGGTGTTGGTGACATCAAGAGGAAAATAAAACATCATATCACTCCTTTGAGAGATAAAGCAGAAAAGCCTGGAGTACTACAGCAAGAAGAAACTACTTATTCTTACTATGCCATCTGATAGGGACTCTGATATGGTTTTGTTCTGTGCTCCCACCCAAATCTCATCTAGAATTGTAATCCCATTGTGTTGAGGGAGGAACCTGTAATTCCCATGTGTCGAGGAAGGGAAGTGATTGGATTATGACGCAGTTTCCCCCTTGCTGTTTACATGATAGTGGGTGAATTATCACAAGATCTGATGATTTAATAAATGGTAGTTTTTCCTGCATGCTCACACTCTCTACTGGCACTTTGTGAAGAAGGTGCCTGCCTCCCATTCTGCAATGATTGTAAGTTTTCTGAGCCCTTTCCAGTCATGAGGAACTTTGAGTCAATTAAATCTCTTTTCTTTATAAACTATCCAGTCTTGGTTACTTCTTTATAAAAGTGTGAGAAAGGATTAATACAGACTCCCAAATTGTTGCATTGGGAACTATTGGGAAGGGGAAAAGGTTGGGAATAGAGTTTATAACCAATTTATGAAAGATCATAATATTTCCAGTTAAATGCTGTATTCTATAGGAAAGATAATGTTTTGGAGGATTTTTAAGCAGAAAAGAAACACTTAATAAGTTATGACCCAGGAAGAATAGTTTGGTAGCAGTGTACATGATGAATTGAATTGGTGGAGATAAGACATTCATAATTAGTAGACAGGGAATACAGTTTAATGAGATTTGCAGATGGCTCTCAGATTCTTACAAATCCAATCTTTTCCCTTGTTTCAAGAATTTGTAATAGGTCATGGTTTTCAAGTATTTTCTCTTAAGTCATATTTTATTAAAAACTCCCATATATAATCATACTTTAGAAAATAATATCTTCATGTAGTCTAAGCAAAATAATAATGATGTCTAATGTTTGCATGTTTACCATCACAAAATATTCAGAAATATAATGTTGTGACATTACAAGATTCTGAAGTAATGGGGCAGGAATTTTTATTTTCTCACTTAGAAAACTACGACTCAGAGAGTTAAGTGATTATATTATATGATGTGTGAATTCACATAATGGAAGCAGATGTAGATTGTTATTCTCTAGAGCTTTTTGTTTATTCATATGGTGTCACAGGAGGCAGAACTGGACTAGTGCCTACTTTTTTCCACCAAACAAAACAAAATTAATTTAGTTTTTCACCTACTTTGTCACCTTGATTTAGTGACCTGAATGTATACAAAACCAAAGTCTTTTTCTCTACTTTTTTTTTTTTTTTTTTTTTTTGAGACAGGGTCTTGCTCTATTACCCAGGCTAGTGTGTAGTGGCATGATCTTGGCTCACTGCAGCCTTGACTTTCCAGGCTTAAGTGATAATCCCATCTCAGCCTCCTGAGTAGCTGGGGCTACAGCTGTCCACCATCATGCCTGGCTAATTTTATTATTATTATTGTTCTTAGTAGAGATGAGGTCTCACTATGTTACCCGGACTGGCCTCAAAATCATGGGCTCAAGTGATCCTCCCACTTTGGCCTTCCAAACTGCTGGCTCTGCCCTGTTAACCTTGACTTTAAGATTATTTGTTATCCCTGACAGCTGCAGTTCAATAAAAAATTTGGCAAGTCAGCACCCTAACTCATCACTTCAAGTTGCCAATAAAGATGATAAACTGAATTTGCATCCTTATTAGTAATGATCACCTCCAGTAAATGGAGATCTTCATTTTGGAAGATAACATAAAATCTATCCACATTGTTTTAATATATTGAGACTAGTATCTTCTATAAAGTCTAATCAGCATTTACAAGACATATTAGTGTCAATATATATTCAATATATTTTTAAATGAAAGACTATATTGTGTTTGCCAGAGCTAGGCATAATCTGCTGGTTATCCAGTCTGTGTACAATCATAAATATAAATTTTGTATATCAATGTCCACAGTTGCCTTTTAATTTCTGTGTTTGTGTTACAGGACTGCCAGGTTTGTATGCTCATTGTGCAGCAATGGACCAATACACTGAGGCAGCAGGGTTTACAGCCGAGAATGAGTTTAATAATCACAAGGCCTTTGAACTAGGAAATGAGAGGAAATCTCAAGCCACAAATTTGCTCCATGAAGGGGTCCTTTAAGGAGACTGTGGAGGATGAGAAGCTGAAAAATTTGGATTGTTGATTGGTCAGGGTAAGGGGGATGTAATCATCAGGATGTTGAAACTGCATTCCTCCATGAGTCAGTTTCTTGCTAGGTCGTTCAGAGCAGCTGGCATCACTAGTTTTGTTGGTATGTGGAACCTAAAGAATAAATTCAAAAGCAAAGATTATCATCTCACAATGCCTTAGATTTTATCTATGGAACAGAAAAGGAACAAAAAGTCTTGTGACAAGGGCTACCTTATACTGGGGTAGTAAGCAGTGACCAGTTACAAGGAAGAGGACGAAAGGGCAAGCTGGCTTAATGATTAGTGCTGATTGTGCTGCCAGCTTAGGTGAGCTTTATTGTTTTCCTTAATCAACTTTGGCAGCACCACTGGTGTAGTGGTAATCATGCAAGAGTCTCTTAATCAATTTTATAAAGTTATCTTGGCGATGGTTTCATTCTTGTTGATCAAATGTATTGTGATACGTTCTTTCCATTAAGTTTTTAGATATTTTTACTTTGTCTTTCAAATTTACATGCCCCAAGCATTTAGGATATCAACTTACCATATTGAAATAAAAAACACTGTATTAACGAGAGAGTGAGAACATGGCATTCAACTAAACTTTTATGATTCCTTGTATTTATTATGTTTCAAAGGGAAGTTGGCTCTTATTCCTTCCTCCCATAGAGTTGATGTTTCTTGTTTACCAAAGGAGCACGGATGACAACTATTCTCTTCTTTGTTTTTGGTAGATTGAAGGGCAGGTAGTGTTCTTTCACATACACTTACAGCAGGAAATACATTAAGGATTTCTTTGGCAATATGAGTAGCTTCTTATAATGTCCATCTCACAAAATACAGTCCTGTGGGAATTATTGTTTTCATTCCTTATTTCCTTATGTATCTATTCATTAAATTATTACTCAATAGCTAACGTCAAGTGGAGTACTGGGTGCAGGATACTAAACAGAGGACTAGCTAAACACACAGCAAGCTTAATAATGAATAAACATACACTTAAGGAAGTCTAGGGAAAGCCTGAAAGACAATTTTTTAAAGGACTGGAACTTTATAAGGAAATAGGTAATGAAGGCAAATATAATTATAGTGGATACATAAGAAATAATGGTATTCAATTGTAAATTCTTGATATGATCACTGATACTGGAGTTAGAGAAACTGGGTTTAGGATCAATGTTAGACTTGCAACTCCTACTAAAGATCTCTGCAACCTCCTCTGCTGGAGTTCCAGTGTTTCTGTCTCTCAGAGTGAAGGGCCATGGAACCTCAGAAGGACTTCTGAGCTCTGAGATAACATACTTGCAGGGTGAGTACATCCAAAGAACTGCATTCAGAATTATAAAACAAAAATAATATCTAAAATAGAATACTAGAAAGGTGTTCAGAAACAATTCAACACAACAAGTATACCCTGAACATCAGTATGGATCTACAGGGTGCTAAGCGCTTTAGCGGGCACTAGAGAAAAATCATCTATTACTCCAAATAGCTTATATAAACTGATTGGGTTGATGAGGCATGCACAGTTCACATGAGCAGTGTTGTGTCCCCATTTCAGCATGGGTCCACATTCCAAGAAATGCCATTCTAACTCTAGAGGCTTAAATAAACTCCAATTGCTTTTCTACAGTGTATGGTTTTTCTATAAAACTTGGGAGAAAAAATTTCCATCTTATTACACTTTCCCAGACGAATCTGTACAATGGAGACAAAAGAAAGTTATTTATAACCAGTGCAACTTGCTGTCTCATCTCTTAACTAGTTCCCCCCGACTCCCTGGCTTTCTGTTTCTCCGGTGGGATTGGGATATTTGTAATTGCAGAGAGTGTAAATGTGATAGCATCGGGATTTAAATTGAAGGAGGTAAAGAGCATCTCTAGCCTGATGCACTCATGTGTTTTACCATTAGAACTAGTCTTTGCCCACACGCTTCTGATCACTGTACACTAAGCAGGAGCAGCATCAAGTTGATACTGTCTCATTTGAATTCCTCCTACAAAGGTCTTTCACCTGAAAAAGAGGTTAGGTGGCCACTTAATATTCCACAGTGCCAAAAACAAAGCAAGCATAAGAATGTCCCTGACTCCTCAAAATGATCGTAGCTACTTATGTCTGTTGTATGCCACAGAATTGGTGTCCCAGTTGGCTCTGTGGGATGTCCTAATGAATGGGACAATTTTAATACACTTTGCCTCCCTATCACTATACTTCAGACACCAGTTCAAGTATTCTGTTAACATTTAATATCAGAATAAAATATAATGTTCTGCTTATGTTCTGCACAATGCACTTTAGAATGAGACTTTTATTGAGTGAACATTTTCCTATAAAGGCAATTTAGATTTGCATGAACACATTGGTAGTCTTATCATACTGTTGTCATAAGTCATTTTTGCACTTAAAAAAGCTCTAAGTCTTTGTCATATGAGATACTTATGCACCAAGTATTGCTCAACTTGTTCTTTTACAATTGATTTTTAACCTAAATTCCATCTTAGTTACTACTGCATTCTAGCTTTTGATGTTTGCCACCCTTGAGTCTGTCAGTTAAGGTACAGTATTAGCCACCTGTTCAAGATTAGGATGATTCTGTTCACCTTTAAGGACTCCTCTTTTTATCATGACAAGTTATTTAGAAAGCTAAGCAATGTGATAAAAATGTTGTTTTTTGAACTTAAAATGAGAGCAAAGGGAAATGGTTTTGAGAGGAATTTTATTCAGCTCACAATAAGGTTAATGGAAGAGTCCTGTCCTGGGTGGAATATTCTCCCCTAATGACTGCACTGGAGTCTGTCAAATTTGGTGTCTGCCTTCCATATTCCATGCCTTAGGTCAGTCAATCACAAATTTTCATAGTTAGAACACACATTGCTGAATCTTACCCCAGTTTCTGATTCAGTGTTGTTGTTTTTTTTTGACATTTATTTATTTATTTATTTTTGAGACGGAGTATTACTCTATCACCTAGACTGGAATGCAGTGGCACGATCTTGGCTCACTGCAACCTCTGCCTGCTGGGTTCAAGGGATTCTTGTGCCTCAGCCTCCCAAGTAGCTGGAATTACAGGCATGTGCCACCATGCCCAGCTCATTTTTGTATTTTTAGTAGAGACAGGTTTTCACGATGTTGGTCAGGTTGGTCTCGAACTCCTGACCTCAGGTGATCCACCAGCTGTGGCCTTCCAAAGTGCTGGGATTACAGGTGTGAGCCACTGCACCCAGCCGACTTTTATTTTAAATTAAGGGTATATGTGCAGGTTTGTTACATAGGTAAAGTTGTATCATAGCAGTTTGTTGTACAGATTATTTCATCACCCAGGTATTAGGCCTAGTATCCATCAGTTATTTTTCCTGATCCTCTCCCTCCTGCATCCTCCACCCTCTGATAAGTTCCAGTGTGTGTTGTTCCCCTGTATGTGTCCATGAGTTCTCATCATTTAGCTCCCACTTATAAGTGAGAATATGTGGTGTTTGGTTTTCTGTTTCTGTGTTAGTTTCCTAATGATAATGGCCTCCAGCTCTATCCATGTTCCTGCATAGGACATGATCTCATTCTTTTTTATGGCTGCATAATATTCTATGGTGTATATGTACCACATTTTCTTTTTTCCAGTCTATCATTGATGGGCATTTAGGTTGATTCCATGTCTTTGCTATTGTGAATAGTGCTGCAATTAACATATATGTGCACGTGTCTTTATGATAGAACAACTCATATTCCTTTGGGTATATACCCAGTAATGGGATTGCTGAGTTGAATGGTATTTATGACTTTAGGTCTTTGAGGAATTGCCACACTGTCATCTACAATGGCTGAACTAATTTACACTCTCACCAACAGTGTATAAGCATTCCTTTTCTCCACAACCTTGCCAACATCTGTTATTTTTTGACTTTTTAATAACAGCTATTCTGACTGGTGTGAGACGGTCTCTCATTGTGGTTTTGATTTGCATTTCTCTAATGATCCGTGATGTTGAACTTTTTTGGTATGATTGTTGGTTGCATGAATGTCTTCTTTTGAAAAGTGTCTGTTCATATCCTTTTCCCACTTTTTAATGAGGTTTTATTTTTTCTTGTAAATTTAAGTTTCCTGTAGATGCTAGATATTAGACCTTTGTCAGATGCATAGTTTGCAAAAATTGTCACCCATTATGTAGGTTGTCTGTTTAATTGTTGATAATTTCTTATGCTGTACAGAAACTCTTTAGTTTAATCAGATCCCATTTGTTAATTTATGTTTTTGTTGCAATTGCTTTTGGCATCTTCATTATGAAATCTTTGCCCATGCCTATGCCCTAAATGGTATTTCCTAAGTTGTCTTCCAGAGTTTTTATAGTTTTGGGTTTTACATTTAAGTGTTTAATCCATCTTGAGTTAATTTTTATATATGGTCTAATGAAGGGGTCCAGTTTTAATCTTCTACATGTGGTTAGTCAGTTACCCCAGCACCATTTATTGAATAGGGAGTCCTTTCCCCATTGCTTGTTTTTGTCAGATTTCTCAGAGATCAGATAGTTGTAGGTGTGCTGTCTTAATTCTGGGTTCTCTATTCTGTTCCACTGGTCTGTTTATCTGTTTTTGTACTTACCAGTATCATGCTGTTTTGGTTACTAAGCCCTGTAGTAATTTTTCAACTAGATTAAGCATTTTTTCAACTAGATTAAGATATCCATAATAATATTAGTATATAGACCCACATTTGAACAAAGTACTTAATGAATTCTGCTGAAACTTTAGATTAAATGTGGGCAATAACATATAGATTTATAAAACAGAATCAATTTTGATTTATATTTATAAACTATCAAAAAGAAACAAATTTAGTGTAGCAAATTTAAAAATTATATTTTACTGTTTTACATATAATATCATGGTTTAAAAATGATGAAATCACTTTAAATTGGAGGAATTTCTCATAGATTAATGCCAAAGTTTTCTTTTATTTTTTTCCCAGGCTGGCCTCAAACTACTGAGTTCAAGCAATCCTCCTATCTCAGCCTCCTAAGTAGCTTGGATTCCAAGTGCACACCACCATGCCCAGCTTCAAGATTTTTTTTTGCCCTTTCCATTTGTCATATGTTAATCAATATGTTGCTTTCCTCCTTGTCATTATTCCTTGTTAACTGACAGTGATCTCATGATCACCTTGAAATGTTTTTTAATATCCCCCAAGCATTTAAATAATTATTTACTATGTCCTCACAGGTTAGATCATTCTTTTTCTCCTTCAGATAATTGTGCCAGGCTGTAGAGTTTAAAGATCCATCTCCGTGAAATAAAGTAATAAAAAATAAAAGTTAAATAATCATCTGTCTCTCTGGCATCTATACTATACTATTTCATCCTTTCCTCATCTTCTTGTTTTTGACACTTTTGGTGGACCTTTGCTCTTATTTTCACAAACTTTTTTAAATTCTGGGATTTAGCATATTGTTTCACTTACTTCCCAGGAATCTCAGGTGGTATTGTGGCTTTAGGTGCCGTCTATACAAAGATGATTTTCAAATCTTTATCTCCATTTTAGACTAAATCCCTCCTTATATATTCAACTGTCTTCTCTATGCCTACACTTTCAACATGTCCAAACTGAACACCTGATTTAGTTCTAGCAACCATATAACATACTCTAGTTATCTATTTATTTTCTTTCTCTCTTTCCCTTTCTTCCTTCCTTCTTCCCCATCCCTCCCTCCCTCCCTCCTCCTCCTCCTATTCCTCCTGTTCCTCCTCTTCCTCCTTCTCCTTCCTTCCCACCTCCCTCCTTCCCTCCATCTTTCTCTTTCTTTCTTTTTCTTTCTTTCTTTTTCTTTCTTTCTTTCTTTCTTTCTTTCTTTCTTTCTTTCTTTCTTTCTTTCTTTCTTCTTTCTTTCTTTTCTTTCTTTCTTCTCTCTCTTTCTGTCTCTTTCTCTTTCTTTTTCTTTTTTCTCTTTCTTTTTCTCTTTCTTTTTCTTTCTTTTTTCTTCCTTCTTTTTCCTTCCTTCCTCCCTCCCTTCCCTCATTCCTGCCCTCTCTCCTTCTCTTCCTCCTTTCCCTCCTTCCCTCCATCCCTTCCTCCCTTCCTCCCTTCTTTTCTTCCTGTTTCAAGTTGAGGTTACCAGGCACAGTGGCTCACACCTGTAATCTCAGCACTTTGTGAGGCCGAAAAGGGGGGATCACCTGAGGTCAAGAGTTCAGAACCAGCCTGGCCAACATGGCGAAACCCCATCTCTATTAAAAAACAAAAATTAGCTGGGCATGGTGGCATGTGCCTGTAATCCCAGCTAATCTGGAGGCTAAGGCAGGAGAATTGCTTGAACCCGGAAGGCAGAGGTTGTAGAGAGCTGAGATCACGCCATTGCACTCCAGCCTGGGCGACATGAGTGAAACTCCATCTCAAAATAAATAAATAAATAAATAAATAAATAAATAAATAAATAGAGACATGCAGTGTATACAATACAGCACACAAAATCTTAATTGCATAGCTCATTTAATTTCTAAACATGTGTATACCTATGTAAATAGCACTCTAAAGGGCTCCTTCATGTTCACCCAACCAGGACCCTTCAAGGTTTAATCCATTTCTTGTCACCATTTTTATAATTATGGGTTTTTAATATAATAGAAACAGCCGGGCGCAGTGGCTCATGCCTGTAATCCCAGCACTTTGGGAGGCTGAGGCAGGCAGATCACGAGGTCAGCAGTTCAAGACCAAGATGGTGAAACCTCGCCTCTACTAAAAATACAAAAATTAGCCGGGCACGGTGGCAGGCGCCTGTAATCCCAACTACTTGGGAGGCTGAGGCAGGAGAATCACTTGAACTGGCGGGATGGAGGTTGCAGTGAGCCGAGATCATGCCACTGCACTCCAGCCTGGGCAGCAGAGTGAGACTCCATTTCAAAAAAAAAAAAAAAAAAAAAAAAAAAAAAAATATATATATATATATATATATATATATAGAAGTTGATAGGACTAAGTCACTATGTAATTTATAAAGACATATTCTAAGCCTGACTACCATTGAACTAAAGGTTTTAAATGTCACATTGTCAAAAGTGAACACATTTTCATGAATACAGAACAAGTAATCTACCTAAGAGCTTTATATAAAGGAAATATTTATTTTCAAATTAAATGTCCAGTTTGAATATATTTTTCATTCAAGCTATGAGCTAATTTTAGTTTTCATCAGGAAGCAGAATTGTGGTAGTGCTTAAAAGTATAAGACTTTGAGTCCTACTATATCTGTACTGAGTACATGCTTTGATGTTCCTTGGCTGATTGTATCTGGGCAAAGTACTTAATCTTCCTATCCTTGTTTCCTCATCCGTAAAATAAAGAGAAAGGAATATTGGGAGGATAAAGTGCAAAAATGAATATAATCGTCCCTCAGTAGCAATGGGGGATTTATTCTAAGACCCTTTGAAGATACGAAAATCCACTGAAGCTCAAGTCCTTTATATAAAATGGTGTAGCATTTGTTATGACCTACACACACCCTCCCACATACTTTAAAACATCTCTAGATTGCTTATAATACCAGATACAATTTAAATCCTATACAAACAATTGTTATATTGTATTTTTTAGGGAATAATGACAAGAAAAAGTCTGTGCATGTTCAATACATATGCAACCATCTGTATAGTACTTTTTTCCTACTATTTTTGATGATCAGTGGTTAGTTGAATCCATGGACGTAGAACTCACAGATATGGAGGACCGACTATATAAGGAATTCAGCATGGCCCCTGGGATACAGTATGTTTTCTAATTAACTTCTGCAGTGCTAAGGGGAAGCAGAGAAGAAAATTAAAATGTATTGAGTATCATTAGTACCTCTTACTCTTGAATATCTTACATACTTAACTTAAAAAAGAAATCTACTTAATTTGAAATAAATCAATATCCAATGGCATTAAAATTTTAACATGTAAATTAGGGGTATCTTATACAATCATATTTCTCAATACCATGGGGTTTAAGATCATTCTCATTGTTTTTATATGTGGATGTGTTTGGATTTGTGTGCCACATACATACACACACTTATATAGTTTTCCCCTCTACCTACTATTGAAAGGGACAGAAAGTCTAAACTTTCAGTCAATTAGTACTGGGTATCCTTTGGCTCATAGAGACTTTTTGCATGCATACTAACAGAACTTTCATCTCCTCTGTAGCATATCCCCTTTTGTTACTCTCTACTCCAGCCTCTTTCACAGCTCTGGGATGCTAAGGACTCTGATGCCTGGGAACTCTGTGAGCACACTGCCAATAGTTCCAGGTCTCACAAATGAGTTTCTGTTTTGGGCTCCCCGGATGCCTCCCATGGCTGCCATTGCCTCATCAGCCCCCACTGCCTTTGCCACTGGCCACCAATGCTGCAGTGATAAAGATGGACACTTCATATGAGCAGCATGAAATGGTGTTTTCTGAAATTTCCTCTAACTTAAAGTCACACTGTGTTCCTTTAGAAAGTCGTAAGACAGCATTTCCGCCCTTTGGTGTTACACTGTATCATTTTATGAATCATTTTTATGATCCTAAGGAAAGGTTGTCTCTGCAGTGACTGGAGATGTCTATGTCCTTATTTCCTACTTCTAAAATTATCAACTGATGAAGGCAGGGACTCACTTTGTTCACTGGTATTTCCCTGACAGCTCTGTTTATCTTTGTATGTTAAAAACCATAAATTCATACCGATACCACCAATTTCAATAGAACACCACAGGGTTTATTCCTACATTCTCCTTTCTCATATGTTTAAATCCCTTCTCTAATAGTGAGAAACCTGGTTCTCATTATTCATAATGTATTTATTCATTTGTTCAGTCGTAACATATATAGTCAGTTTCAGAACTACTAACTCATGTGTCTATGGTAAAAATAAACACAACTTTATTGACTGGAGTCAAACATTTGTTTGCAGTTTTTATCTTTACCTAGAAGGAATATGGCATTATAATACTCATTAGGTCGGCTGTTTTTTCCCCCACTTTTTATTGTGATTATTTATTTGAAATATAGTTTGTTTTTTGTTTCTATCCTGTTTTTGGGCTTTCCCCCACTTCTTAATTATATTAATTATACTTTATTTTAATGAGTATGTAAGACATTAATATAATTCACAAGCTGAAACTATACAAAGAGGAATACCCAGAGAAATATCACTCCTCCCAACCATTTTTTCTTACACCATTGTCATCCTCCAACCAGCCCACCCCATTCTCAGCCACCCATGGTATACTAGTGTCAATACTTTCTAGTATACTCTATGTTGCATCAACATTTTGCAAAAATGTGAAGCCATATATTTTTTGTATTTATCATTTTTTAATACAAAAAGTAGAATACTATAAAAATGTTTTGCTCTTCGCTGTCTTTCAATTAGCAATATATACTGAAGATACGTCCATATCAGCTCATAAATATCCTTATTATTCATTTTAAAAGCTGCATAATAATCAATTGTGTGGATGCATTGTAGTTTATTTAACCTGCCTTTTGTGTATGTATAGATTATTTCCAATACAAATAACATTTTAATAAATAATCTTGCACATATGTATTTTCATATTCTTGGAACAACAATATGAAATTGCTAGAAGCGAATTAATGATCATTTCTAAAGGACTGGTAGAGTAAAGGATAAATGCACATGCAACTTTGTTAGATATTGCCAAATTTCCCTCTCTGGTTTCAAAATGAAAATACCAATAAAAAACCCACAATGAGATACCATCTCACACAAGTTAGAAAGGCGATCATTAAAAAGTCAGGAAACAACAGGTGCTGGAGTGGATGTGGAGAAATAGGAACACTTTTACACTGTTGGTGGGACTGTAAACTAGTTCGACCATTGTAGAAGTTGGTGTGGCGATTCCTCAGGGATCTAGAACTAGAAATACCATTTGACCCAGCCATCCCATTACTGGGTATATACCCAAAGGATTATAAATCATGCTACTATAAAGACACATGCACACATATGCTTATTGCGGCATTATTCACAATAGCAAAGTCTTGGAACCAATCCAAATGTCCAACAATGATAGACTGGATTAAGAAAATGTGGCACATATACACCATGGAATACTATGCAGCCATAAAAAATGATGAGTTCATGTCCTTTGTAGGGACATGGATGAAGCTGGAAACCATCATTCTCAGCAAACTATCTCAAGGACAAAAAACCAAACACCGTATGTTCTCACTCATAGGTGGGAATTGAACAATGAGAACACATGGATACAGGAGGGGAACATCACACACCAGGGATGGTTGTGGGATGGGGGGAGAGGGGAGGGAGAGTGTTAGGAGATATACCTAATGCTAAATGATGAGGTAATGGGTGCAGCACACCAACATGTCACATGTATACATATGTAACAAACCTGCACATTGTGCACATGTGCCTAAAAAAGCCTTTAATTTTTAAATACAATTATCAGTACTGTCTATAAGCCTAAAACTTTAATTTTAATCTTATACTTAACAAATATACAATGTATAAAATATTAAGTGAAATGTTTTATTAATGTATTAGCATATTCAATAAATAAATATGAACTAGCATATGTAGTATAAACGTTGATAAAGCATGAATCATTCTCAAGCTACTAAAAATTTCTTTTTCTTACATCACTTTCTGCCAGGAGTAATATTATCTAACTCTTCCTGTCCTTTGACATCACTGGAAGCATCACATTGAGCTTCTAAATTTTCTATGCAGAAACTTTTCATTCCTAGAATCTTGAAATTCAGTGTTCTCGCACAAAACTCTTGTCATGCGAACAAGGGCAAATGACCACACAGTACCCATGCCAAAACTGCTGGAGTTGGGATTACTGGGGAAAATTCATAGAGGAGGGGTCAGAGGGTTAATCTGTTGTTCATCACCATTTGGGTCAGTGTGAAGAGATACAGTAGGTTCAGACATGAGACTGTTAGAGATTTCCATCCTTGAGCCCTGGAGCCTTTAAGTTTCACGATCACACAACGTGGGTTTCTCCTCTCATGTACTCAGGGGCGAGGATCAGAAGTGAAATGAACCTTGCTTCAGTTCCACTGTGGTACCTCTGCTTTCTGGATTGGGGCAGGCTTGGGGGACAGTTACCCCTCCCCTGATGCAGCAGAGGCCTGGGATCTAAGCCGGATGGTTAAAGTCACATGGCGTAACAAATAAACAACAGTATTAGGCACACCTGTGTTCACAACTGGGGAAATACCAGCCCTTCCTTTGATATGCCGAGGGACTGATGTTCAAGTTTTGAGAAACTGTCTCAATCACTGGGCCATAGCTTGTTGCCATGGAGCTTTGAAGGAAGTCAGTCCCATCTCTGGGAGGTCAACCTGCAATGGATGAGTCCTAAGACAAGCAAAGTCTTACTGTTCACTCTTAGTTTTACATCTTTAAAACAAATTAACAAAACTATGGTTCTGAAAAATTAAGTGACATGCATATTTACAGTTGGAGAAAAGCTTGAACAGGATTCAGTTTTCCTTGTATTTAGAAAAGCGTGTTTGTTTTTGTGTTATGTGGTGCTTCTTCTGTTAATACTAGAAGACTTTAAGATAAGGATGTTTCTTTTTTATTTTTTAAGGCTAGTCAACTGGGAAATATACAGAATATAAATACAAATAAAATACAAAATAAAAATGCTTTTTTTTTCAATTAGGAAAATACATTAAAATATTATCTGCCACAAATGAGTCACTGGGCATTTACTAGCAACCTAGCTGGTAACTAATTGGGCTTTAAGGTACAGGCCAAAAAGCCATTATATTGTGATGAGAAAATATTCCGAAAACAGATCTTACTCTGTTAATGTTACCTGTTGAGTGGGGATTGCCTCTAAATTTTGTAGAAAATTTTGAATACCATTAATGTCTATGCTGAGAGCCTCTTTCCAAAATGACTGCTTTACATTACCTTATTTCCACAAAAATGCATTTTTGAATCTCATTACTTTCATTTAAAAAGTCTCATATTGATTAAGGTATTATTAGTTGAATTATTTGTAGCAGTTACATTATCTTTATAGTTTGCTCTGAGTAAACACTAGCTGTACACCCTAGATTATGATTTTCTCTTTTCTTTTCTTTTATTTTTTTGGGGGGGACTGAGTTTTATTCTCGTTGCCCAGGCTGGAGTGCAATGGCGCCGTCTCAGCTCACTGCTACCTCCACCTCCCGGGTTCAAGCGATTCTCCTGCCTCAGCCTCCTCCCAAGTAGCTGGGATTATAGGCACCTGCCATGACGTCCGGCAAATTTTTGTAGTTTTGGTAGAGATGAAGATTCACCATGTTGATCAGGCTGACCTGATCCTGACCTCAGGTGATCTGCCCTCCCTGGACTCCCAAAGTGCTGGGATTACAGCTGTGAGCCACTGTGCCCAGCCTGGATTATGAATTTCTGATGAAAGAAAATGACCATTCCTAAAGCATAATTTAAAACCACCACACATATTTAGACAGACCCTTTTATACTAGCATATTTAAAATTATATTACAGACATCAAAACATCCCAATCAACACCAAATTAATATATACCTCTAGTATGGTATTTATCATATTGGGCTATAATTACTTATGTTTTTATTATTTTCTTGCTTATATGTATTTTAATGCTATAAAATGGCACTGAGTTATTAATCTATTTTACTGGAATATAGCAGAGTCCTGGATGATAATAACATTGTTTATTAATCACTCATTATGTGCCAAGCAGTATTTTAAATAACTTACTACCTAAACAACTCAAAATATTACTAAAACTAATTAGTTTAATGAGATGACTGGATATAAAATAGGTATAAAAATTTCTTTTTTAAAAATAATAACAATAACGCTTTAATCATTAAAAATTTACTCCATAACTTTTACATTTTTAGGAATAAGTTTTATTAAAAAGAAACAAAATGTACATTAAATATTTTCTAATGTTTTCTAAGAACATAAAGTATACTCTGAGTAAATGGAGGAACTTATCACATTCTTAGATAGTATGGGTTAATCTAAGTTCTAATCAGAATCCCCCTCTCCTCACTATTCTTAACAAAAAGGTGATAAATTCACCCTCTTCCACATCACTCTTTCTTTCCAGAGAGAAACCAAGTTAGAGGACAGTGGGAGGGTTTTCAAAGCAGAAGACAAAAATGAGTATATTAAAAAAAATTCTCAGCTGTTTATAAGAGCATCTTCTATCTTTAAAATTTCTATATCTGCTTTATTGGAATTAATAAATATCAGTCAGCAATTTAAAGAGAACTTGCATTTGGAACATAGTTATGGATTTTCCTAATGTAAAATTCATATTGTTTGCTTATCAAAAAAGTTTTTAATATTCTGTACCCTTAGGTATCTTGTCTCCTATTTAGTCAATACCTGATTGAGAACAGAATTGATGATAAAGACATCTCCATTCATGTGGTAAATACTGAATGATAGCCTACCATATGTACACCACAGTGTGCATGCACTGCAAGCCATAGGAATAAATAGTCACAGGTTTCTCCTGGGGTAACTTAATATTTAATAGAGAAAGCACGTTTTCATGAAAGAAACCCAAACAAATCCTGTGTGATCCAAGAGGAAGGAGTAATTTCATATGAAACATTTGACTGAAATTAAAATTAAATACGATTCTGACCAGATTAAGTAAGAAAAACTAAGATAAACAAAAGCAAGGAAGTATGAAAAGAAATAGGCTGAGGCACAATCAAATGACAGAAATCAATGAATTATGGGAGCATGAATGTAGAAGGAAACACAGATTAATAGTTAATACATGACCAAATGAAGGAGGAACTTGAGTTAGCAATGATATCATAATGTTCACTGAAAATGTTCATTTTGGAAAAGATTCAGCAAAATCTATAAAATCAAATGTTTGTGGGTATTTGGAGTATTTCTGAAGACATTTTACTTTAGATTTGGACATTTTCGTTGGTTAAAAAGGTATATATCAAAATCGTCATTAACATTTTGAAAAATTAAATAACTATACAGTATCTAAGAATTTACTATTATTATTGTAGAATGAAGGTAAGCTTAGTGATACAAATTCAATTATATAAGACAAAACATACATTACACTAAAACAACTGTTCAGTTTAGTGGGAGAAAAAGTGTTTTGAGTGTAACTCTTAATTAGCAATTAAATTTTAAAGATTCTGGTATAGAGGGTTTTTTTTTTTAACCAGTCACTAGAGTTAGATAAATTTTAAGAATGCTATGAGAATAGCAAAGATTTTCCTACTACCTGAAAGTATTTATAAAGGTTATTTTTTAGTCACTTCTGTTAAGGACCAGATCAGATCTTCCACCCACAAAGCTAACTCTAATCTTAAAATTTTAAAGAAAACTCTGTATTTAAAACCTTTCAAATGCCACCCCAATAACGGAGTGCTTCATATGAGAACCACTCAAGTGGAATATTCTGTTTGCTTCTCTCTCACATTGTCACACTACCTCAGTGCTCTTGCAGTTACAAATATAAATATTCCTTTTCTCTCCTAAAATAGGCTTAAATATTTTAAAACATAGTTTGTAAGACACTTGAATTATTAAGATTAGGATGAAGAAACGCTCATCTTGTCAAAAAATCAATTTCCAAAGAAATTCTTGGGGAGCTATATATACAATGAATATATTCTATAATAGGCAATTTATCTTCTAGACACAGTTTAATTTTGATTTATTCTTGTAATTTGTTTCAAGTCTGTGTCAGGGTATGTTTTCCTTTTACTATATTGCTGATACATTTACTAAATGTTTGTTTAAAATTTTTTCATCTATGCTCATGATAGCGATAGATCTCTCTCTATATATTTTTTCCGTTGAAATGTCTTTAGTTTTAGTACTAAGATAATACTATCTTAAAGACTGAATTAAGAAGTATTTTCTCCCATGTAATTTTCTGGAAGAAACTGTAAAATTGCTATTAATTATTCTTTTAAGTATTTGACAGAATTATGTGGTGAAACCATTTGGGGGCCTAGAAATTTCCTTTTTGGAAGCTTTAAGATTATTAATTCAATTTCCTTAATGGTTATAGGATGATTCAGATAATCTGTTTAATTCTGTAGGCATTAGTAGCTCATGCTATTTCACCATCTGTCTAGCCAGATCTACTTTCTGGTTTTCAATAACCTTTCCACTTTTAAAAAAAGTTTTAGTATATGTTTTCTCATCTATAAGATGGGCTTACTTTACCCTGTCGTTACCAACCTAATATTGATTATTCCACTTGTTTGTTTTCTTGGAAGGCTGTATTTGTATATTTGGTTAAATTATGTCCTCTTTTCGTTGGCTTTAAAAAAATCAACTAAACCAGTAGGGAGATCAAAATATCAAAAAGGAGAAAGCAAGTAAGAGTAGAACTGATTAATTTTTTGTTAAAATTTAACTTTATAGACAACTATTTTGAAAATGTTGCTGTTTTATCATTTATCTCAGATGAATCTAGCTGGAGTTAATTATGAATGGTATAAATATTGCATAAGAATCATATCATATGGTTGCTTAGAAAAGTTCTTTGTTCGAAAAGCTGATTACTTTTGTTTAAAAGAAAGGTCATTAAGACAACGGCAGATGTAAAGCTTTGAATTTATTGTTTATGCAAGTAAAAACTCAGGTAGTAGGAATGGCAATGATGTTACAGTCTTCTTCTTTAGCATGTTTCAGGAAATACGTAATGCACCATTTTGATCCAAAGTCCTAGTGACCTAAATCCTATGGTTATACAGTTTTCAAAATCCTCAACCTGATTCAGTTCGTTATAAAGCACTAAATTTATGTCAGAGTTCACAGTTGTCATCATCTACTATGCTACTTTTGTAAATCATTGCCTGAAAGTGATTTCTGTGATGATCTGGGGGAGAAGATGCATTGCTCTTTGAAATCAAATTTGTCACTAACATACATACAATTTCCACTGGTATGTCGCAATTAAATGATGCAGCCCTTATCCATGCAGTCTTGCACAATGCTCACTAGGTAAATCAGTAAATTTTGTTCTCACATAGGCAAGTAGCCTTGCACTTTTCCTTGAGTAACTCATGTTCACAGCCAGCTGTATTCTTCAAGGAATCACAGTTACTTAGGAGATCTTGATACTGGCAACTATTGGCTGTAACAAAAACAGATTAGTTAACTCATTATCGTTTTCCTCAGTAAGAGCAAAACCATACATTCAAAGTGTGTGGGGAGGGGGTAGGAGGGAACAAACAAGTTAGCATCGCTTACACTACAATGGGTCTTTCATGTCTTTATGGCTGCATAGTATTCCATGGTGTATATGTGCCACATTTTCTTAATCCAGTCTATCTGGATCCAGGGACATATGAGGTGTCTTAGTTGAGCTCACTGATAAATCCATCACTCTTTAAATTCCACATTTAGTGATATGTTTCTAAAATAAATTGACCTATTTTTCCCCCTCAGCAAGCAGAATAATATGAATGTAATTAAATCTTTCTATGCCTGCACAGCCAAATATGGGAGCCATTAGCCACACAGAGGTATTTAAATTAAAATTAAAATTTTGGTTTCTTAATCTTGTTAGCCACATTTCAAGTGTTCAAAGTGTGATTAGTAGCACATGTTGATAGAGACTCTTTCCATCATATCATAATATTGGGCAGCATGGCATTACACTCCAATGCTTTTTTTGAGTAAATAATCTTTATGGGTGGATAAAAGTGTAAAACAAGGACAATACGCCCTTTTCCTTTTGATGTTTCTACTTGGATGTTCCCTAGGGACCTCAAACTCAATAAAACTCAAATTAAACTCCTTGTATTAGCTAAAAGGCTGACAATTCTCAGCAGTGATCTCCCTGCACCACCCACAATCTAAGGGAAATGAAGAAAGTTCATTCTTTTTCCTTCTCTTTTTCATATAGCCTGTCTTCAAGCTCACTGATTCTTCTGTTTAATGAATTCTGCTGTTGAGACCATCTAATGTTTTTTTCAGTTTATTTATCGTATTTTTCAGCTTCAGGATTTCTGTTTTTCTAAATGTCAATCTCTTCTTCAAATTTCTCTGATAAATTTCTAAATTGTTTCTCTGTGTTTTATTGAAGTTTGTTGGGCTTCCTCCAAACAGCTATTTTGAATTCTGTACCCTAAAGATTACACATTTCCATCTTTCGAGGGCTGGTCACTGGTACTTTACTTAGTTCTCTTGATGAGGTCATATTTTCCTGAATGTTCTTGAAACTTGTGGATTACTATCTCAATATCTAGGCACTAAAGAATTAATTATCCTAGTCTTTGCAGTCTGGGCTTGTTTGTACCTGTTTTTCTTCAGAAGGCCTTCCAAGAATTTAAAGGAGCGAATAAGTCTCCTAAGATGGCAGTTATTTCATTATTAGATGATGTTCTAAACCCAGGTTTGCTGCAAACTTGGTTACGAGAAGGGTGACATGGACAATTCCCTGGATGCCACAGCTGGCACTGTGCCTTGATGCATCTGAAGCCCATGGACTCTCAGACCAGGACAGAACCAGGGCTTGCCCAAGGCCAGCAGCTGTTATGACTTTCCAGCTACTACAATTCATTTGGGGTCTGAGGCCATTTTAGTTGACCAGTAGTACTGGGACTTGAGTCTGTCCCACTGGGGCAGTGGATTCCTTTTTGGTGCTATGGTGGGTCTAGAGGCCCACCAATCTGGATACCAATCTGCATACCAATCTGGATTTAGGAGCTGTGGGTTTCTTACTGGTGTGTGTTTTGTTGTGGCAGGCTCAGTACTAAATCCAAGGCAGAGTACCCCACACACTTCCTTCTCTTTCCCCCAAGTGGACAGTGTCTCTCTCCCCTCTGTGTTACCTAGGGTTTATGAGAGGGGTGATGCAGGCAATCCCATGGACACAGCAGCTGATACCAGCTGATACCATGACAGATGAATTCCAGACTTGTTAGCAAATAGCATTCAGCAAAATGTATAAGTATTCAACTATTTTTTTCTTTTTTTTTTTTTTGAGACAGTCTCGCTCTGTTGCCCTGGCTGGAGTGCAGTGGCCGAACTCGGCTCACTGCAATCTCCGCCTCCTGGGTTCAAGCGATTCTCCTGCCTCAGCCTCCTGAGTAGCTGGGACTACAGGCATCCACCACCACACCTGGCTCATTTTTGTATTTTTAGTAGAGATGCAGTTTCACCGTATTGGCCAGGTTGGTCTCGAACTCCTGACCTTGTGATCCGCCCACCTCTGCCTGATTTATAGCTTTGGTATCATTAATATTCTGAAATATAGCTATATAACTGAGTCAGAAAAAATGCTTAGTAAAGGTGAATGCATTGAAGAGGTAAAAATTTCAGTGATGGTGTCAACTTTATCATTCATAATAATTTTAATAAAAGTATCCCAACTACAGAAAGCCAGCAGCTATTTTTACTTCTATTCATGGCAATTTATTAAATGAGATATATGGTATTTATTTCATTTTCTCCTTTTGCAAAAATATGTGCACAGTTTCTATGAGCCAATATTGTATATAGATTGAGTTTTGTCATAAAAATGTACACAAAACAATTATGAAATTATAGGGCAAGTAATCATTTATTAAGGCAAACACTATGATCCTAATTATACTATAAAAAAGAAGTGAGGAAATCAGCATGACAAACACATTAGCACAAATAAACAGTAATATTTGGCGTGCCTGTCTAGACTGAGCCATAATGTGGTCTCACACTTTAGATTTATACATTTTGATTCCTTTAAAATACCACTTTTGGTATAGTGATATGAACTTTGAGAATTGAACTATTTACCAAAATGGTATATGGTTAATATTAAATGGCTCTGAAGAGCCACAAAAACACATTGATGATAAATATTCCATTATGTTACATACGGCAATATGCTTTTCATTACAAATAATATGTAGCTCCTGCAGTGTGTAAAATGTTTGTTTAAGCATACTTTGTTGAATAATTTTGGGTTTTTTCACCAATACATTATTTCAATTCATTACGTTAGGAGATTTGTTAAATTATATAAAGAAAAGATAATATCAATTCTATAATAAATAATAGCAAGCTAATCACTTCAAACTTACTGCATAGTCCTTTGTCACAGTCATCAGGGCAACCGGCACAAGGTGTTCCTTGTTGGTACGGGGTATTCTTTCTATTCATATTATTACCACTGAAATTTGAAATACATGTCAAATATTTTTCACTTTACTGTTTATACTCTAAGGGCAGTATCAGTCATCAAATATACATAAATAGTTATTCAGGGTTTTTAGTATGTTAACAAAACTGAAAAATTACAATTCCCAATGTGTATTTCAGATAACAATCCAAATTAAGAAAATGCTTCACACATGGACATATCTTCTTGACCATAATTTCACAGGCTGGGTAACTAAATTTGATGACAAGAGTCTGAAATTTTGAGAGTATATTCAGTGTGGCAACACTATCTTTATCTCCCATTATATTTAGTCAAATTACTAAGGCAGTGTACCCCAAGGTGCCAATTAGGGGTAAAACATCCTGTAGAGGGAAAGGAGAAGATCCTAGGAGTAGCAGGTTGTGGCAGGAAATGAATATGCAATGTTAAAATATCATTTTCCATTTGAAAAATGGAAAAAACTCCATAGTATCTCTAACAGAAACTATGAAAAATATAGCTCCAGAGTATTTTTTTCTTCCAGATGGAGGTTGCGATTTTTCAGTAGTTAGTGGTGTGTGTGTTTGTAGGAGTGTGCTTAGGAAGGTTTGTGAGCTTCTAGAGGTGGCATGTATGAGATTTTTACATTTACCAAAATGGAATATTAGTTTTTGTTATCCCAGAACTTAAAGTAAAAAAAAAAAAAAGAAAAAAAGATTAAAGAAAAGTTTTGATAAATACTGATATCCAGGATATAATAGTTTTGCAATGATTAACCATAGGATAATGATGATCATTATTCTATTGGCCATTAAATTCATTTAAAATTATGTGGGAGTCCAAATCTCAATAGACCAAGTGGGGTAAGGACCCAAGGAAGTGCAGCTGAATCTCAGTCTCTTTGCCTAGAATATAGCTGTGTGTGTATGAGCTCTTGGAAAATTGTGAAACAGATATAAAAGGATTTTAAAAGTTCTAGTTCCCTTGGCTTCCCTCATGATCTATTCCAACTGTCACTTCTGACACCTGGCTGCTGATGCTTCCCTCTGAGGGCCAGTAAGTGAGTTTGGATACATTCTCCCAGGGCCTTTCAATTCTCTCTACTTGAATCCTAATAGGTACTTTAAAGAAAATGACTTTGGAGGTTATACTTCTCAAACTGGAATCGTACATCATCTTCGCTATCTACAGTCTCGAAACAAATCCTGTAGCTGTGCCCCCCACCGCAGCCTCCAGTAGTAAAGAATTTCAAACACTAAATTTGATATTGTGAATATCTTCTTAAAATATCCATAGGATTTATTGTGGATAACTCTAAACATATTGTTTAATGAAGAAGCATGTTTACTGCTACAAATCAAACCTTACAAGATGGTTAAAGAGCTTTCTGTGAACAATTCTGAGAATCAGAGACTTAAGATGTTATCTTTTCTGTATTCTGAAATAAAGATGTCCTGAAAAGCCATTGAAATCCAAATGAATGAATAATTTGTAATGGTAATTGTGTGTGGTGGTGTGTGTGTGTGTGTGTTTTACATAAGCAGAAGTAGGAATATTTGAGCAGAAAGGGCCAAAATCACAATCCATCTTCCATTTGCAATCTCACCAGCACCCTAAAGCATCTATACTCCTAGAGTATGAAATTAGCAAGATGTGATGATACCAATTCTAGAGAAATACATATTACACATGCTCACAGAGTAACCCTAAGCTGAGGGAAGGCCAATTGAAAGAAAAGACATTATTCTGTTAATGAGGAATGAGAGCTTCAGTTTTTATACCTGAAAGTGAGAAGTTGTTCTCCTCTGAGAAGTTGAAAGTGTCTCAACCTTAAAAAACATTTCCAAACGTTTATCCCCTCCCTTTTATTGAGATATGTTTTCATTCTGGTTTAAGATATGAGAATTATTAAAAAATAAATTGCAGATAGAATTATTGCCATTAAACTCTAAACAGTCTACTTACGCAGGACAATATTGGCAAACATAGTAGTATTTTAGACTATCTTGATTGGGACAGTAGGCAATTCCACAGCCTACCTGGTAAGTCGAGTACCAAACAAGCTGCAAATTAACAATGGAATAAATATATAAAAGTACATTAGAGAAGATGAAAAATATTTAAAAAAGTAGCAAATATAAAACTGAAAAATGTTAGTTTTATAGACATATACCATAAAAATATTTAAATTATTGAACCAAAGTCATAAACTTTAAAAATATTTAATTTTCATGTACATTCATCACTTTAAAATTTATAATGTAGGAACAATACAGAGTCTGCTTTCCTACTAAGAGTTTGGCTGACCATGGACAAAAATGACAGCTCTACAACAGCCAAATGCCAAGACTGTATTCTACCCACTCGGACTGTTCTCCTAAATTGAACATTACAGTGGTCATAATTTGGAGAAGCTTTCCTCTATTAGAACATCTGTGACATAGGTATTTTCATGCATTCTTCTTACCTGAGTATAATGTCCAACAACTGCATTGGGACTCTTTGGTCCTACACCATAGACAAAATCTAGGATCTCGTCATACCAGCTTTGGATTGCAGAAGACCAGGAAGTAGGGTCACTTGACATATAGAGATTCTCACCACATCTTGTACCTAAGGGGCAGATCATTCATGAGCAAGGTAATAAACATGCAATGGTAAAAGAAATTGACTACACAAACACAAAGATGTTGCCTTTCAAACCCAGGGTCCAGCAGATGCTAACTGTTGATTAATACATAAAGGAGTGCCTCAGTTCCTTATCAGCTATAAAGCTGATTAGAACACTTAACTGCCTGACACACTGAGGTTGGCCTGACCACATAAAACTTTGAGTAGGTTAACACTCTGCTCCTTAAAAATGCCCTTGCATGCTAAATTTTCCACATGTGTATGCCTTGAGTGTTCCCAGCTGTATATGGTAAGCTTGCTAAAGGCAGTGACCAACTCTTATATTCTGTTTTCTGCTCTAGTAACCCTCAACAGAGATTTTTCAAATATAGGACCCCAAATAAATGTATAAGACTTTGTGTGAAATCTGAAAAAAAGACTTTATAGGCTGTCTTTAAGAGTCCCAATCAAGAGAAAACTGACACCAGGAAGGATAACAGTTTTCAAAATTTATGGGTTTTCTCTTAACCAGGAAATCAGATATCACAAGCTGAAATCCTTGTGAGTTTGTCAAGAAGTGCCTTACAGCCCAGAAACACTTCATAAATTATTTGGGCATTTACTAGTTTTTATAATCCTTGATATGTCTTTTTAAAACTCGAATATAGTATTCTGTGCATTGTAGGTATCCAGTCCACACAAAATACTTGCTAGTCTGATATTAAAAATTAATATATTAATATATTCAAAAATATTCATTTTTATAGAAATTTTGAATACGATAAATTTAAATCCACTTTATCCACTTTTATCCACTTTAGAGCAAAACTTAGGAATAATTCATCATAAGTTCAATATATTTTATGGATACAAAAAATAGATTTCAAAACATCAGACAGCTACATAAATTAACAAAAAGGGCAGTGGGTTAGAAATCAGAAAGCTTGGTTAAAAATTTCTAGTATGACACTGTTTCAGATTATGTTCTTGGGTAAGTCACTTTTCTTTCAAATTCTGGCTTTCTAATCTTTAAACTTACAAAAAGAAAGATGATATAAAATCTGCTGTACTCATGAGCTGGTTGCAAGAAGCAAAATTATTTGCATAATGTACACAATAAAAAAACACAAAATTGTTCTTATTGTAAATACCCCTCTGTATACAGATACTTTGACTTCAAAAAGACAGCAGTATAAGTAACATTTATTTTCAAAGTCTTCTTATTATAGAGCATCCTACAATGCTCTATTATTATTTTATTCATTTATTTATTCAACAAATATTTACTAATTTACATACTGGTTTTGCGGTCCTCTGGATCACTATGTTGTAAAGTGCACTTGTTTGCCCACCTTTGGGCATTCGTTGTTACCTCTCTGCTCCATTCCTAAACGTCACAAGAAAACAAAATACACTTAATGATTCAGCCACAATGAAACATACACTTTATAATCTGATTTGTAAATACTTTAAAATTTCTGTAGATGTATTCTCTAATACTACTGTTATTAAAATGTTTTTAAGTGTTTTTATCTCTTCTGGTGCCAGTTTACACATGATGGGTAGTCCATAGGTAATATATCTAAAAAGCAAAATAAGACAATAATATGTGATTATTTATGATAGCAAAGCAGCCATACCTAGGATATTTATTAATGATGCTAGTCTAAATATTGATAAGCATGTGAAATATTCTAATTATATTTTAATAGTAATAAGATGGCCAACGTTATTTCCAATTCCATTTGTTTTCATATGTAAGCCATTGCTTTCATATCGGAGATACCAGTCTTTCAGGGACTGTGCCCTGGGAAGTGGGCTTTTACTCACAACAGCTGACACATATCCTGAAGGAAGGGGGATTTCTTGATTGTAAACCAGAAAAGAGAATTAACAAAAAGTGTAATGGCTTAACACTGAATGCCTGAATATTTGACTTCCAATTATGCCTTCCAAATTTAAAAACTCTGTATAATTGAGTTTTTTTAACCAGCTTTAAAACAAAAACAAGAATACAATCCTCTCCATATAATGGTTCAAATAAAATAACAAAACAGAGACACAACTTTGTAAACCACAAAGTTCTTAAGAGATGCCAGTGGCCAGCCGTCGGCTCCTTCCACAGCTGATTCACACCCATCTCCTTACAGCACTGCCTCTTACCATCTTTAGCATGTTACTGGCAGGTGGAGAGACTGCTTTCCTTAGTTCATTGTGTTTATTTACAATCTCCCTTTGCACTTGCAACTGGGTGGTTAACAAAGCAGTAAAAGCGGGATCCTAAAAGAAAATAAAATTGGAATTATTATTTAACAATATTGTAAATTTCATATAATAGTGAATAAGTTAATTCAAGAGAACAAAGGTCACTTTAAAAAGTGCAAAATAGTTATCATGTACATATATTAAATACTAAAGTTATTTAAATAATAAAAGCCAATATTAGTTGTTAAGCATTGCCACTAAATCTGAGTTGAAGATATAACTTTTAAATAGTAAAGTAGTAGACTGAAACATTTAAATAGGAAAGTAGTAGATTAAAGCTTTGGGAATTGTGAGTAACTCATGGCATGACAAACTAAAAACCCCTCTGAGGCCACAAATGCCGATTTCTGGTTTCAAGGGAACTTTTCAAAAAATAATTTTGGGGGAACAGGTGGTAAATTGTTGCATGAATAAGTTCTTTACTGGTGATTCCTGAGATTTTGGTGCACCCATCACCCCAGCAGTGTACACTGTATCCAATGTGTAGTCTTTTATCCCACGCCACCCTCCCACATTTTCTCCCAAGTCCCCAAAGTCAATTGTATCATTCTTATGCCTGTGCATCCTCATAGCTTAGCTCCCACTTATTAGTGAGGACATATGATGTTTGGTTTTTCCATTTCTGAGTTACGTCACTTGGAATAATGGTCTCCAACTCCATCCAGGTTGCTGCAAATGCCATTATTTCATTTCTTTTTATGGCTGAGCAGTATTACGTGTGTGTGTGTGTGTATATATATATATATATATATATATACACACACACACACACACAGTATATATATATGGCTTTTATGGCTGAGTATTACGTGTGTGTGTATATATATACACACACACACGGTATATATATATACATTATATATGTATACATTATATATGTATACATTATATATGTATACATTATATATGTATACATTATATATGTATACATTATGTATACATATATAATGTATATATAATGTATATATACACGGTATATATATAATGTATACATTATATATGTATGCATTATATATGTATGTATGTACACATTATATATGTATACATATATAATGTATACATTAATAATAATATATATTATATAATATATATTATTATATATTATGTATTATATATTATATATTATTATATATTATGTATTATATATTATATTATATATAATATATAATATATGTAATATAATATATTATATTATACATAATATATAATATATATAATATAATATATTATATTATACATATTAATGTATACATTATATATGTATACATATATAAGTTTATATTATATATGTATACATTAATATAATGTAATATATATTATATATATTATATATGTATACTTATATATGTATACATTATATATATGTGTACTATATATATATATATATATATATATATATATATATATATATATAACATTTTCTTTATCCACTCATTGATTAATGGGCACTCGGGCTGGTTCTATATTTTTGCAATTGTGAATTGTACTGCTATAAACATGCGTGTGCAAGTGTCTTTTTTTCATATAATGACTTCTTTTCCTCTGAGTAGATACTCAGTAGTGAAATTGCTGGATCAAATGGTAGATTTACATTTAGTTCTTTAAGGAATTTCTATACTGTTTTCCATAGTGCTTGTAATAGCTTACATTCCCACCAGCAGTACAAAAGTGTTCCCTTTTCCACATCCACACCGGTATCTATTATTTTTTTAATTAAATTATGGCCTTTCTTTCAGGAATAAAGTGTTAGCCTCATTGTGGTTTCGATTTGCATTTCCCTGATAATTAATAATGTTGAGCAGCTTTTCGTATGTTGGTCAGCCATTTTTCTATTTTATTTTGAGAATTGTCTACTCATGCCCTTAGCCCACTTTTTGATGGGATTTTTTTCTTCTGATTTGTTTTAGTTCCTTGTAGATTCTGGATATTAGTCCTTAGTTGGATAACTAGTTTGCGAAGATTTTCTCCCATTCTGTGGGTTTTATGTTTACTCTGCTGATTATTTGTTTTGCTGTGAGGAAGCTTTTTAGTTTAATGAAGTCCCATTTTTTATCTTTCTTTTTGTTGCATTTGCTTTTGGGTTCTTGGTCATAAGACATTTGCCTTGGTCTTAGACATTTGCCTTAAGCCAATGTCTAAAAGAGTTTTTCTGATGTTATCTTCTAGAGTTTACATGGTTTGGTCTTAGATTTAAGTATTTGATCCATCTTGAGTTGATTTTTGTATAAGGTGAGAGATAAAGATTCAGTTTCATTCTTCTACGTGGATCTTGCCAACTATCCCACCACCATTTGTTGAATAAGGTGTCCTTTTCCCACTTTATGTTTTTGTTTGCTTTGTTGAAGGTCAGTTGGCTGTAAGTATTTGGCCTTATTTCTGAGTTCTCTATTCTGTTCCATTGGTCTATGTGCCTATTTTTATACCAGTACCATGCTGTTTTGGTGACTATAGCCATGTAGTATAGTTTAAAGTGGGGTTATGCGATGCTTCCAGACTTGTTCTTTTTGTTTTGTTTTGCTTTGGCTATGCAGGCTTTTTTTTTGGCTCCATATCAATTTTAGAATTGTATTTTCTAGTTCTTTGAAAAATGATGATGGTATTTTGATGGGAATTGCATTAAATTTGTAGATTGCTTTTGGCAGTATGGTCATTCTTACAATGTTGATTTTATCCATCCATAAGCATGGGATGTGTTTCCATTTGTTTGTGTCATTTATAATTTCTTTCAGCAGTGTTCTGCAGTTTTCTTGTAGAGGTCTTTCACCTCCTTGGTTAGGTATACTCCAAAGTATTTTATTGTTTTTTCAGCTGTTGTAAAAGGTACTGAGTTCTTGATTTAATTCTCATCTTGGTTGCTGTTGGTGTATAGCTGTACTACTGATTTGTGTACATTGATGGCTAAAGATAGGACTACAATCTGTTCTGGCTTACAGGATTTCTGCAGATAAATCTGTGGTTAATCTGATAGGTTTTCCTTTATAGGTTACCTGATGCTTTTGCCTCACAGCTCGTAATATTCTTTTCTTGATCTTGACTTCAGATAACCTGATGACTATGTACCCAGGTCATGATCTTTTTGTGATTAATTTCCCAGGTGTTCTTTGAGCTTCTTTTATTTGAATGTGTAGGTCTCTAGAGAGGCCAGGAAAGTTTTCCTCAATTATTCCCTCAAATAAGTTTTCCAAACTTTTAGATGTCTCTTCTTCCCCAGGAACATCAATTATTCTTAGCTTTGGTGATTTAATGTAATCCCAAACTTCTTGGAGGCTTTGTTCATTTTCTTTTTATCATTTTTTTGTCTTTGTTAGAATGGGTTAATTCAAAAGCCATATCTTCAAGCTCTGAAGTTCTTTCTTCTACTTGTTACATTTTATTGTTGAAACTTTCCAGTATTTTTTGCATTTCTCTAAGTGTGTCTCATTTCCAGGAGTTGTGATTGTTTTTTTATTTGTGATATTTATTTTTCTGGAAATTTTTTCATTCATACTTGTATTACTTTTTAAATTTTTTTGAGTTGGTTTTCACCTTTCTCTGGTTCCTCCTTGAGAAGCTTAATAATTAACCTTCTGAATTCTTTTTCCAGCAATTCAGAGATTTCTTCTTGGTTTCAATCCATTTATGGTGAGCTAGTGTGATCTTTTGGGGATGTTATAGAACGTTGTTTTGTCATATTACCAGAATTTTTTTCTGGTTCCTTCTCATCAGGTAGACTATGTCCAAGGAAGGATCTGGGGCTCAAGGGCTGCTGTTCAGGTTCTTTTGCCTTGAACCCTTGATGTGGTACTCTCCCCCTTCTCCTAGAGATGGGGCTTCCTGAGAGCCAGACTGCAGTGATTGTTATTGCTCTTCGGGGTCTAGCGACCCAGCAGAGCTACTGGGCTCCAGGCTGGTACTGGAGAATGCCTGCAAAGAGTCCTGTGATGTGATCCATCTTCAGGTATCTCAGCCATAGATACTGGCACCTGTTCCAGTGGAGGTAGCAGGGGAGTGAAGTGGACTCTGTGAGAGTCCTTGGCTGTAGTTTTGTTTAGTGCACTGGTTTTCTTGAATGTTGGTTATGCTAATAGTGAAGTTGTCATGTGGACAGTCTCAGGACCTCTGGTTAGCCAGGATGTTACAGGCAGTGGAATTAACTGCTGTTTTGTCTTTCCTTGGAGTAGAGTTGTTCTGAGTTGCTGTAACAGCTCGAGTTGGTTTCAAGACAGTGTAAGCTGTGGTAGTATGGGGGGATACAAGTTTGCCCTAAGGTCACCTGGATAAGTATTCAGGTTTTTCAGGTGATGGGTAGGGCTATAGAGCTCCCAAGAGTTTATGTCTTTTGTCTTTGGCTACCAGGTTGGGTAGAGAAAGACCATCATGTGTGGGCAGGATTAGGCATATCTGAACTCTGACTCTCCTTGGTGGGGGCTTACTGCAGCCACTGTGCAAGATGGGGGTGTGGTTCTCAGGCCAATGGAGTTATGTTCCAAGGGGGCTATGGCTGCCTCGGCTGCTTCATAGAGGTCACCAGGGAAGTGGTGGAAAGCCAGAAGTGACAGGCTTCACTAAGCTCCTAGTCAGCCAGCAAGGCCAATCTCACCCCTGCTGTGCTCCCTCAATGGCCAATAGAGCTGAATTTATATCCAAGCCTCTGTTGTGCAAGTCTGAGATCTTGGTCCAGGCTACAACCCTCCCCAAGGAGAGACTAAGGAGGGCTTTCAGGCCTTTCCCCATTTCCCACCTACTGCAGCTTCTGTACTCATATCCGTACTTCCCATTCAGAATCCCAGATCTGCCCAGAAAAATTTGCACTTGGTCAAAATTATTACAAAGTTCAGCTGGAAGTCTCCTCCCTGTGGCCCTTCTCTAATTCCACTGGCTTTCCTCTTTGAGGATCTCTGTGAGATAAAGTCAGAAATGGCTTCCCTGGGCTTCTGTGGGAACTGGGAGTGCCTACAGGGCTCTTCTCACTGCTTCTTCTTCTTTTTTATTTTGCATGGCTCTCTAAATTCATTTCAGCCTTAAGTAAGGTTAAATCTTTCTCCCATGATCTGGATTTTCAGCTTCCTCAGTGAGGATGTGTGTTTAGAGGCAGATTTTCTTCCCTCACGCTTTGGGCCCTCATAGTGTTTCAGCTATCTCACAGAGTTTGTAGCGTCAAGCCACTTCTTTCAAATGGTCTGTGAATTCTTTCAGTTTTCCTGCCATGCTCCTGCAGTGGTTCTTGGCACAAAAGTTCATGATGTGAATCTCCACATATTGTTCTGTTTATCCAAGTGGCAACTGCAAGTTAGTCCTGCCTCCTATCTGCCATTTCCCCCAGCAAGGGAACTTTTAATATGATTTGTATAGACATATGAATAATAATATTTTATAACTACAAGCATACAAATTTAAAACCTTGAGATATATTCATTCACATTTGATCAGGCTGCAAGGTAGGGTAAAGCTGGAGCCCATGATTCATCTTAAATTTTATGGGGCAGTTTTCCTTGACATGGTATCTGCCTTTAAGGAAAAATGTTTAGGCCCAGTTGAAGTGCATGTCTGCATTCAGTACTATAGTGAAACCATTATACCTATTATGTAGCAAATTTTATGGGTTGCTTAAAAGATAACTTTGTAAAACTAAAAAAAATTTAAAGCAATTTGGAGGGATCAAATCTATCTAATGAATGGACTATTGCTGACTTTGTTCCTTTTAGTAACAGAAACATAACTGATAAGGTATTAAATTGGGTGCTAATATGTTTGGTTTATCTTTGTGGTTGTATATTTGTCTGTGTGTATGGTATGGGGCCTGCTAAGCCTGGAGGTGGAATAGGATGTGAAAATTCCTGGGTAAAGGTCCAAGCATTTGATGACCTAAATTTACACAAGAATATGATGTTATATAGGAATGGGCAAGATTTTGAAGTATAAGTCTGAAAGGAACAGGGCTCCTCATGGATTTTTTCTGACACCTTGCAATAAGTTATCCTCCTCTCCTCCCATACTGAGTTCATTTAAGTCTCTCAAAATACTTACACCATTGGTCTGAGCATCTTATTGCCATTATCTACAATATATACATTTCTCTTTCCTGCTTTTATGTTCCTAAGAACAGGGACTGATCGTGGACGCCACTGTACCAATAAATATGGCAAAGTTACTGACTCATAAGTTAGAAAGGATGTGCATATAAAATATCAGTAAAGGCAGATTTCTAAATCACATCAAAGCATAAAATAACATCCCTGGATATTTTCTCTCGACCTAAAAAAATCTGGTTTTTGTGGTTTCATCTCAAAACACATAAAAAGTTAATTTCTAAATTATTTCCTGCTTCTTACACCTTTTTGCTTTGTAGATAAAAATTGTACTGAAAAAGAGATGTATTTTTAAATGTGTTAATAAAGTTATTACATGACTAGAAATATTAAACATATCGAGAATAAAATAAATATGGTATCTATCCTTAAAGAGTTTATATTGAATAAGTGACGTGACATAAGTAAAAATTACAATACACATGATAACAAAACTGATCTTAATGATCTACAAGATAGGGAGGAAGGAGGGATCAATTTTTCTTTGAAGTCAGAGAAAGCTTCATAAAATGTGATTCTGGGGTTCTGAAAGATGAACAGAGTTTTCTAGGCATCTTGAAAACATCAGAAAATCATACTGGGCAGAGTGTTTATAGAGCATCTGATTTCAAACATTTAGTGGTGCCAAAGACAAAATGACATCTCACTTTTTAATAATTTTATAAATGAAGACCAGGAGATGAGCTGAGATGTTACAGGGGATTGGAAACAGGTATGAAAGAAAATCTTTCAGGGAAAGAAATGAAAAGAACAGCAAATTATTTGAATGAGGCCCTAGATGATGAATGAATTATCTGCACATTGATAATCTAATTACAGTAATACAATGACTATATTTCTGAATGCCAAATGAAGTTTGAACTGAGTGTCAGAGTCCTCCAGTCTGAAAAGTCCTAGCGAGTCTAATGTGCACAGAGTTAATGGAAGATATGACAAGAAACAGCAATGCCAAAGCTGTTTCAGAGGCTACCTGCTCAGGAGATACACACTGCATGTGAGCACTGCACATTTTATCACTGAAGATTGCTGACCATATTATGGGGTCAATTCAACAAAGTAGCATATTAGAAATAACTCTAGGACCTGAATTCAAAATCCTCTTGGCCCTTCACATACTAACTCTATTATCACTACTAAACAAAGCACTAAGGCTTTTAGAGTTAGGGTTTTTGTTTTCTTAATTAAAAATATAAATCTAATTATTCTTATACCCTAACTATACAAATTAAATGTGTTAATATAGTGGAGAAATTGTGCTAATTTAATATTATATAAGTATATTGTTAATTTTGTATAGGGATCTCATTAAAAAGAAATAAAATTAAGGAAATCAGAAAATAGATTGGAGCAAGAGGACTATCATCAGCTTTCTAACCCCATAGACCAGTGTTTACTAGAAAAATAATTTAAACATGATATGCAATTTTAATTTTTAAGTGATATTAATTTAAATAATACATTTTATTTGTAATGAGTTAGGTGGTAGACTCCAAAAAGACATGTCCATATCCTAATGCTCAGAAACTGTGAATGTGTTCTTATTTGGAAAAAGTCTTCGCAGATGTAATTAAGTTCAGGATCTCAGGATGAGATTAGCCTTGATTATCCAGTTGCCTCTGAATATAATGACAAGTGCCTTTATGAGACATACAGAGAAGGGAAGATAATGTAAAGATGGAGGCAGAGATTGGAGTGATGCAGCCACAAGCCAAGGAATGCCAAGCAGTGGCAGAGACCACCAGAAGGTGGGGAAAGGCATGGAACAGGTCCCTCTTAGATCCTCCAGAGGGAGCTCAGCCCAGGAGATAATTTGATTTTAGATTTCTGGCCTCCATAACTGTGAGAGAATAAGTTTTTGTTGTTATAAGCCACTTAGCTTGTGATAATTTGTTGCAACCACCCTAAGAACCTAATATATTATTTAATGGAATATCCAAAATATTATCATTTCATCATGGATGCAATATTAAAAAAATGAGATATTTCCTTCTTTCTTTGTTCTAAATGTTTGAAATCTAGTGAGTTTCTTACCATCAGAGTACATTTTGCCTGTTCAAACCTCATTTCAAGTGTTCAGTAGTCACATGTGACCGGTGGCTAGCATACACATGCAGAACACATACAGCATAACCTTGGCCTTTCATCTCAATAATTGTGTTAAGTGCTCTGAGAACTCTGAACCAGTGGAAACTCTGACATACCAAACTCTCTTACCCCCCTTTACTTTCAGAATAGCCTGCCATACCACAAAGTTGCTGGATAGCTCTGAAAAGATTTTCCATTTTAACCTTACCTTTCCTTCTGCAGGTAAAGATGGAAGCAGCACAGTAACCAGAAACAACACCGGTAGTAAAGCCATTGCTGGAAACTAAGTCAAGAAAAACAAAGGTCTGCATTGAAATATGTAGTTTAAAAAACTTCTAAGAGGGGGAATACCAATATAATGATCTCGATTATCTCAAAGGAACTGTGATTCCCAGATTCATTAACAATGGAACAAAAGAAGAATTGCCCTATGGTACTAGTAGAATCATAATGAGGCCAACCTTGTCTTTGATAGTGACAATAAAGAAAAAGCTGAAGAACTCTACTGATGCCCTTGAGGTACATCTATAAAAGAGAGAGACCTACTCCCTTCTTTCTGCCTACTTCTGCTACCCTTACGCCATCAAAAAGAAAATAGATTCCTTAATAGTTAATTATAGTACTGACATTCATTCTTCATCTCAATTTTTGGAGGAAAGTTTATTTTCAATATGTACCATCTCTCAATTGGCTATTCTATACGAAAAGTAAAACGGTTTGTCCTTTTATTTATACCAGACTCTAATTAAGATGACAAGGTTGTGATTACACAGATATGGTTGTGCAAATACTTTATTAGCTGTTATTTCCCTAATGGAGTAACTAGAAGTTATGTTTATTTTCTTCCTTATACTTGTGAATATTTTCAAATTTCTCTGTATACAAAAAATACAATTAATGCATTGAAGATATAGCTTATTCAAGTTTACTCAATCCATTATTTGGTAAGAAGATTGTTTCGTATTTTCATTATCTCCTAAAAAGACACTCAGCATTTTGTTACCCATGTTGTCCTTTCTCAATATGTCAAAAAGTCTCACGTCCTTCAGATGAAACAACAAGACCACTTAGTTTTGGAAACACTCACCTTTCTGTCATTAGTCATATAAATTGTTTAATTTGTAAATTAAAGTTATGCTGCCTAGATTTGTTTCTTGTGTGTGAGACTGTCACTCCCAAATTCTTGGAAAGAAAGAAAATTCCGAACAATTTATCTGTGATGCTTCTCAGGCTTCACTTACTGTAAATAGTGTATCATTGATACTTGTTCCATCCATTGCCTTTATGCTCAATTATGTGCAAAAAAGGGATGAGGGATGAACAATTATTGACGGTTCATGGAAAATGATATACAATTTCACTCCCATACCTTACTGGGTATTACTATTTATATTGTATGGATGATGTAATTGAGGCTTAAGACAGTTAATTAACCTATGCCAATGCTACGTTCTTAGGTAATGTCAGAAATTAGTCTTCATCCAATTATGACTTCGAAGTCAATGACTTTGAAAGAGACATTGACTCATTGAAAGAGACACAGTTTTAATTGGGAAAAGGCAGACATTGTTGCAGCACAATGGAGACCCTTTATTTTTACTTTAATAATTCCCTTATTAATACATAACTGTATATGTTAATAGTAAAATCATTAATATGCCAGCTTATACAATATACTTAAACAGCCATACTTTTCCATTTTCCTATTAAAGGTAGTTCTAGTATAATTGTCTCAAGTCACAAACATGAGAATTAATTCCATTACTTATTTTTAGAATAAAATGTAAAAAATTTTTACATATCAAATTTTTTTGTGTGTGTGCGTAATATTGCTGTAATTTACCTTCTTAACTGTAAAAGAATAAAATTAACTTGAGGTCATTCTCAATACAAATTTATTAAAGTTTTGAAAATCATGGATAGGCCAGGCACAGTGGCTCATTCCTATAATCCTAACATTTTGGGAGACTGAGGTGAGAGCACATAACTTGAGCCCAGGAGTTCAAGATCAGCCTGGAAAGCACAGTGAGACCTCATCTCTACTAAAAACAAACAAACAAAAACAAAACATAATTAGCTGGGCATGGTGGCAAGTGCCTGTAGTCCCAGCTACTCAGGAGGCTGAGGTGGGATGATCATTTGAGCCTAGGAGTTTGAGGCAGCAGTGAACTATGATCACAGCACTGCATTCCAGCCTGGGTGACAGAAAGAGACCCTGTCTCTAAAACAAACAAACAAACAGACAAACAAAAAACAAAAAAATAAAATCATGGGCAAACTCATTAATCATTTTACCCTTGACAACATAAAAATGATTGGCATGATAAAATATTCACATTAAAATCAATGATTTAACACTTACTGTTGGTTTTCTGAGCAGGATGAAATATCTACTTTATCTTTAGAAAGAAAGAAGGTGGAAGGTTTAGAGCAGCATATATATTACACATATTCCTGTTTTGTCAAACTCTGGTTTTGTTAAATAAATCTAAGTCAACAAAGTTCTGAAGTAGTATTTTTCATACCAGTAACCTTAAACTTCATTGTCAGTTGTCTGATAATGCTTTTGACATTATTTGCTTCCCACATAGTTTTTAACATGAGTAAGTAAATCATGCCCTCCCTTTCTAATCAGTTCTCCCTTCTCCTTAGGCACACGATAATCTGCATGTGGCCTTTTTGGACTAGTATTTCTATATTGACAACCCAAGACAGGTTAACTACTGTGAAGGTTACCAGGATTCTGCCTTATAGCTGAACTCTCATAGTTCAGCTGTCTATGATTTTTACTTTCTAATTATCAACTACCTGTAGCTTATTGGTTACGGGTGCATTCTTTGGAAACCATCAGGTCTGGGAAATCTATGCCAAGCTTCAGTGTTTTTCTTATGTAAAATGTAGATTTTTATATCACAGGTTTTTGCTTTGAAGACTGGAAGGGACAATGTATGTAACACCTCTAATACAATAAACACATTATGCACATAATACAAATAAACGGAAATTATTCATGTTTTTATTATCTTTTGCAATGTCTGCTAGTTTGTTGAGCTCATAAGAGCTTTCTATAAACATATGCTGTTTGATTGAATTGCTAATTACTAAGTGTTTAAGAGACATGTGTTTCCTTCCAGGTGTTATAGGAAAATACAATCAGTATAATCTAATTCGAGATTCACATGTTCAAGGCCTGGTTCTATTAGACACCTTCTGGCTGACTTTAGGAAAATGCTCTAACATCTGGGCTGTTGTATCCTCATCAGCTCATTGAAAGCCATACACAGGAGCCTGAAGAGTTTTGTATAGCTCAATCACCCAGTGTATGCATCTGATGAGCCAGAATTCTATAATAGGCCATGATGCCATACTCTCCTCTTTGCTGCTCTTCTCTCTCATAACCTCAACCATCTAACCTATACTCATCTTCATTGAGTCAATGAAAGCAATGTCACTGTTGGTGAGAGTATATTCAAGGAAAAATATTTTTTTCTATTCCATATAATTACATTTTATTCCTTTAAACCCATATTGATATATAGTTGAAAAGTTGGCTACCATTTTTTTTCTTTGCTACTTACTAATGGTGAAGTACTGTGCTCTTTCTTGCAGGTGTTTTAAGATCAGGATGACATGGTTTTCCTAGAGTGTCTTTAGGAGGGCCATGGTGTATAATTTTATAACCCTAGAACAAGGAAACAAAATATTTAAAATAAAGATGTGAAGAATACCCTTATAGATGGTATCTATAATCTTTGTCACAAACTTAAATTTTGACTCAATTGTTTAGTATTGTTTCTAATAATTTACTGTATTTATTTGATTTCAGCGTTAAGACCATATTGTCCTTCTGAGGTCAGATTGTATTTCAACGCCCTGATATTTCCTTCAAACACTAACAAAAAAGTGGACTTCTTGAAGTTCAGTAACTACTAGTTGGCTAACTTGCTTGGAAAATTGCAACCTTTTTTCAAGACTCCCAACCCCTTATCTAGGACTTCAACCCATTCTTTAAAAGATCATTTCCATAAGCAGTGTCCCACATGGTAAGTATTAACTACGTGGATTTGGGGGTAACAGCTTTGTCTCTTCATTTTTTTTTTAAATTCTGGAAGCCAATAGATGATATAAAGTCCAGCAGAGTCAATGACCCCAACTCTAATTGTTATTACAGTTTCTAATAACTGTACATTCAAAACATCAATTAGAAACTAAGAGTCTTAATTTGACTTCGTAAAAAGCAGATTGAGAAATGACTTCAGGCTTCTACTATGATTCAATGGGTCTTATGTACTTAGAATGATTTCTCTTTTAAGGTAGGTAAAGAGTTTCAATAGACTAAACATAGAGAAGCATGTTGAAAGTTATGGTAGGTCGGCGCTAAGCAACAAAATTGAACTCTCAGTCTGCCCGGCATTAGCTATGTGCCCTCCAGATGCCGGAAGAGGAGCGAAGGAGGATCAGAAACCCCCTCACCTCAACGATGGTTCTCTCCCCTGTGCTTCACCCCACCTCCCCGTCCCTAGCCATTTCTAGTCTCCAATCCGGGTCTTACATTTACCCTGGCTCCAGAGCACAGACCTTCCTGCAGTTGGGCCGGCGCGTTGCGGCGTTGAGGAGCTGCGGCGCGCCCCTCTCACCGCGATTGTTCACTTGCCAGGCGCCACGTGTGGGCGACGTCACTGGGCTTTATGCTTTCATCGCCGCTATCTGCCTACGTGAGCTGCTCTCCTCCCATCGCCCCCGCCTCCCCTACTACGGAGAAAATCTTGCACGTTTTCCCTTGTGAAAAGCAGAGTTCTCTTTTTCTCATTACCACCAGTTGATGAGGAAAGAAAATGTCTGTTCGCATACCTGCGCCGTACTAGGAGGAGGAGGGAGGTCATATAAGGATTCGGGTTGCCCAGGGGGTGGCTTGAAAAAGGAGGCGTTCGCATTCAAACAAGAATGCCTGAATTAATGTAGTTCAATTTAAAGAGCTAATTAGGAGTCCACAGGTGCTTAAGTTTGCAGTGCGCTGCCAGTGTCATGCCAACGACGCACTCCAGTTACACAGGTTGTCAGTTTCAGGCTCCCTCATAAACACTTCATGTTCTTGTCCCTCTTCCCCGTTGGCAACAGTTTTATGGTGAGAAAATTCACGAAGAGTAACAGGAACAACTCTTATGAAAATACGCAGAACTCCTGACCCAAGGCTACTGGCTGCAAGTTTAGCATACGTATCAAGCATGGGTTAAAGACATGTTTTCTCTCTCAGAAGGCGGATGAGTAATAGGTGCATTTTCTTCTATTCACAGTTGTTTTCAAAGCGAAAAGGAGTGAATTCGCTTATGACCTAGAGGAAGAGAGATGGGTCAAAAGATGTCAAGCCAAGGATTAATATCCGTCATACCTTGGTTCTCTGTAAGCCATGCAATAAGAGGCTTGAGATTTCACCAACTCTGGAGACTCACTTGGGCACAACTGAAACTATAACAAACTTGGTGCTCAGTGCCATTTTCCTTTGGCAGTGTTACAAGGTAATTTCAAGGGATCAGCACACAGACATTGTTTTAGTTTTCTTTTGCTGCTTATTTCAGTTCATGCAGCACTGACTAAAAATTTTGGAATTTAGACTGCTTAACGCTTATATCTACATCCAATATCAAAATTCATTACTGACAGTTTGCCTTTCTAAATATTTATGAAATCTAGTCCTCAATCTGTCCCTCACTTCTATATTCATGTTTTCACCATATCTTGCTTAAGTTATTAATTGGACATTTCAAATACCTATATGCACAAAATCTCTGCCTACCTATTTGTTCTTTCTTTCTAGTGCCGAACAATTCATTCTCAGCACTATAATAGTCTATCATTTACTGTGAATATCTTATTTTTCATTTTTGGAGAAGAGTCATTCCTGTAATTATTACTTGTTCCCATATTCACATTGATGATATCAGAATGAGAGCAACTTGAGCGCTGTGGTGCCAGATATTGTTGGTGAACCTGAATTTCAGAAATTGGCTATGTCTGTCTTGATTATTGCTGTATCTCCAAAACTAACACAATACCAAATATAGGTGGTAGTTTGTAAATATTTGTTAAGTGAGTAAATATTGACCCGACATAGATTCTTAGAAAATACAGAAAAAAGGACATAAAATCTCTTTCTTCTAAGACTCATAGTACTATGAGAGAAAGGAGTATGTATATGAATAAGTAAAGAATACTATTAGGTAGTGTAGTTTAATGCTAAGTAGGGCGACCAAAAATATATACAGTAATTGAGAGTTCTGTGAGTTGATATGATCTGGGTAAAACCTAGGAAAGTTTTGACATTTGAACTGTTATTGAATAATGCGTATGGCTTGATTTGAAGGGAGAAAGAGTTGAAGAACAAAAGCAGATAAATCATTATATCACAAGGCATATTCAAGACAGAAAGACTGTTGAAAAGGTTGGGGAAACTTTGTATAGAAGTCTAAGGAGATTTGCTTCTCTGTATAACATGGGAAAGTAATTTCATTGACATTTTGGAGGGTTGGGAAATTCTTTGATCAAAAGAATGTTTCATAAAAGCCACCTGATCTCACTGCATGGGGTGATTTACAGAGCTGAGAAATTGATGGCAGCAAAAATAAGTGTGGTAACAATTCCCCAGATTAATTTTGTAGTAGTAGAAATAGGACAAAAGGGTGGAATATGAAGAGATTTTTAAAAAGTGTTGATAGATTTTGTATGAAGGGCAAATCCAGAATAGAAGACTTGTAAGTTTGGTGCCTGAATGTGTTGGAGAGCACATGGAAAGTAGATCTCCATTACTGAGAGGAATAGTACAGGTACTTCTAAGAACATTGCCAGGAGTCCTTTGCTTTTCTAGAAGGGCATCATTTGTTAGTTCCTTTTTCTATGGTTTGGAGTAAAAGAAGCAATGATTAGAAATGCATTCCTCATAGTAGGCTCTATAGCAGATTCTACTGTATAGGATATAGTTAAATACCAGACTTTAAATTCTCTTGTGAAAATTATGATAGAATTGGCTGAATAGAGAAGTATCTGTGCAGCTGCTGGCACTTGTGGCCTATGGAGAAATACATCAGATGAAGACTATAGAGATTTAGCTGTAGAGGATAAATGAAGAGATTGCTTAGTTAAGTAAGTAGACTCTTTAGCTCATTTTTTGATCTATTTAATTTTAGGTGGTTTGGTTTATGGGTAACCTGGGTAAAGAGCATACTCCAAACTCTTGGTATTATCCTCCCGATAGTCATAATAATAGTTTCCCTGGTACACTGTATTCTCTCAAAGGTTTTAAGTGCTTCCACGCAGCCATTGCTAGAATGTCAAATGGTCTCTCTTCAATTAGAATGACAAGAGCTGAAAGAAATGTGTGACCATGAGGACACCATAACCTATGAATGATGTGGTGAGACCAGAAACCCGAAATAATGGTAACTGAGAGTGGTGCTAAGGCCCTAAGTTTTGGTCACACTCTCACCTAAGTGAGAACCTTATCAAAAAGGGGGGAATTTTCTTTTTAAGCAAAAGCATAGGAGGCAATTGTTTTGGACTGAGTTCATGCACTAGGCCCCAAAAGACCAAACCAAACCAAACCAAAACAGAGTCGCTTGTGCTAAGACATTAAGGAAACACATAGATCCTAGAAAAGACCAGGTTTTGTTTTTCTCCTGCAAATTTCCATAACAAACATTGCTGAAAGAATAGGTATCCACCCCCTAAAATTCCCATTAAATCTTTAACCCAATTCATTTCCTCTCGCCTAGAGACGATTAAGCTTTAGATGATCATGTGACAAGGGTTCCAGCCAGTTCCAGGTGAAGATGCCTCCCCTGGCCATCAAGGAGCTACCCTTCCTTCACTAGAGAGAGCAAGGCAAGAGGTCTGTGATCCCCACACCAGTCATAAAGCATTTACAGAAGAAAGACCATCGGTTGTTCCACCTCCCATAAAGACTTATGGAGATCACATCTTTCAGGGGGAAATTGAGGCAGGAGAATAGGGCCTAGAGGCAGAGAACGAAAGGACTTTCTAGAACTAAATCAAGGGGAAACACTTCTTCTAGAAACACTGTATTGGTACAGAAAAAATTTCTCAAGTGAGCATGTGTACAACTCCATTAAACACACTGTGCATGAGGCTGCTCCCAAGTGCTAGCAGGCTACTGCACATGCAGATGGCCTAATCCAAGGGAAGAGTAATGCAAGACCCTGGAAGTATGCCAACATATAAAACCCCAAGTCAAAAGGTCAAATTGTTAGAGGAAAGAATGGCTACTCCATAGGCAGAGCAGCCCCAAGGGCTGCTGGTTGCCAATTTTTATGGTTATTCTGATTATATACGAAACAAAGGGTGGATTTTTCATGTCTCCCCTTTGTAGACCATATAGGGTAACTTCGTGACATTGCCATGGCATTTGTAAACTGTCACAACCCTTGTGGAAGTGTAGCAGTGAGGACGACCAGCAGTCACTCTTGTTGCCATCTTGGTTTTGGTAGGTTTTAGCTGACTTGTTTACTGCAAACTGTTTTACAAGAAAGGTCTTTATGACCTGTATTTTGTGCCAAACTCCTATCTTATCCTTTTACTTAGAATGCCTTAACTGTCTGGGAATGCAGCCCAGTAGGTCTCAGCCTCATTTTACCCAGCCCCTATTTAAGATGGAGTTGCTCCGGTTCACATTCCTCTGACATTTCTCCTCTCCCTTTTATAAAAGAACCCTTAATCCTAACAGTTGCAGAAGGATGAAGATTCATCTTCTTTAACTTCTTCAGGCTGAATGGGGCAATGATATTTCTGTGTAACTATTAGGGTCTCTTGTGTTCAGGGTACAGAGGAGTTCAGTCAGAATGCATTAGTATGATGAAGGCCATTCATAACTCTTAAGTTCCAAGAAAAGGTGATATCTGGAAGATTTTTTTAAAAAGTTGAGTAAGTTTATCCTCTATTCCTACACAAAGAGCACAACAGCAAGATATTTTAAAACAGTAAAGCAGAATAAGCAAAATTGTCCTAAGTTAACTAAATTAGAAGGCTTTCCATGAATTGGGCAACTATTGAAACCAAGCTGATATGGGGTCACTAGCTGATTCCAGTGTGCCCAGAATTGGAATATTGATTCATATTTTTACATTACCCATTCCTTTATTTTCTTCTGAGCAGCAGCCAGAGATTGCTGGTTGGTTCACAGGAATAAGCAGGGTTAGTCTAAATTGCAGAAAAAAACTCAAAACAACTGATGAGACTAGAATCTAAGAGCAAGTACACCATAGTTCTTGAAACATAATTCTCTCTCCAGTTTCCCATTTTTACAAAGGACAAATAATGGTAAAACTGACTTGCTTTACTATGCTTGGCTGGATTCTTTGTATAAAGTATAGCAAGAATAATTATTTTTCATGTAAGCTTTTTAAAAATTGGCTTTGATGGAACTCTGTTTCATAAAAGGAATCTCAGATAAGGTTTTTTTAAAGCCAAGCCCAGCCATGGGTTTTTTACCCTCAAATACCTAACAGTTGGCTAAATTCCTCTACTCTTGAGGTTTCAGGACAATTTGGGGCTTTTAGGTCTGTCAGAAAGTGACATTCTTTACTTACCAAAGGTGAAGAACCCTGTAGAGGGACTGTGTAGACAAGGTATGAGGCCAGTTTTCTGAAGGGGCCTTTATTGGCTTTACTAGTCAAGTTTGATTCCTTAAAGGAAAGCACAGCCTTCCAGTCAAAGCTTTGATAAAATAAACAATTTCTCCAATTGTGTCCTGTTGCAAAAGAAAACCGATTCTTATTGCACTTATGCAAATAACTACATTGCCATAAATTAAGAATACCCACAAACCATTTTCAAATTCTGGATAAATCAGTAGAGAGAAACAAATGTGCTCCTGATTTTGTTTATAGAAGAATACTTTACCTAATTGTTAAAAGCTGTAAATAGCTTAAAATAAAATTTTCTAGACCCTGAAAAACAAAACAAAGGATTAGCAACATTTTAAGCACAGTCAAAAAGATTATTTTTTTAGTTTAGTCCATGCAGTTAACTCCTGTTCTGAAAAATAGTCATAAATATTTCAGCTCTTCATCAGAATCCTGAAAGTGTTTTCCTCTATTCTAATGTCACAATTTCCAAAGATATCAGGAAACCTGCATTTAGCACCTGTGAAAGTCCTATAGTTGATCATAAAACCACCTTTTTAAGAGGGTTAAAACAAGGCAATAATTGTCTGTGGATGACAAAATGTTTTAGGGCAGCCACAGTCAAAAACATGATTGACAAAGAAATTAGGTTACCTTTGTGGTATACAATGATTTTATGTAACAATTATTAATAATATACACTAAGTCATATCAAAATTATAGGAGATTTTTATAATTTTGGAACACATACCAGTAATATACTAATACAAATACAGCCCAAAGAAGGCCAAACACCATTTCATATTTGACAATGCTTCCTGTATGACTTTTATATCAAATAAACCAAATTTCACTTCTGCATTAGTGTACTATTAATGTTAAATCCAATTTTTAATAAAACCTTATAGACAAATCTATCCAATTTTAATGTCTGACCATAAGGTAATATTCTCTTAAATCTTTTATAACTCTTTATAAATTTTTGTTAAATGGTAGATCAGTGCTCTCAGAAAAACCTGTTGTGCTTTTATTCCAATGTTTAATTTTTAGAAAAACTGAAATAATACTGCTTTAACTTTAGTCAATATGTTCACACCCAGAATTTCTTTTACAATTAATTTTTCACAAACCTTTCACAACTTGCTTAAAGCTTCAGCTTCATCTGAACTCAAACAATCCTTTACCCTTTAGGCAAAAAACAAGTCACATTCCCATGACTTCTTATAATTTATTTTAAACTGAAAACACATTTTACTTTCTTTGTACACCTTTCATGTAAAACTTTTTCTTCAGTAGTCTCAATTACATGTTATAATGTTAACTCTTATCAACGTTTACTTATGGTGAAAACCTTGGTAAGTTAGGATTTTAATTGTTTACTAAATGTAGAGCCTAGGATCCAGATAGAAGTGCAGATAAGGTCTGACTTTTTCCAATGTCTAACTCCACATGTCTCAGGCTTTACCTAGCTGTAAAGTAGGCAAGTTGTACAGTTAAGAGTCATAGTGGCATTTTATGAAGCATTTAAGAGGACTAGCCACCTTTAAATTGCACATTTCTTTCATAAATTCTATTTTATAAATTCTTTCATGACTTAACCAGACCATCTACGAAGTGCTTGGGCTTTCTGACTTGTCCTAAACATCCCTCTTTTTAAACAACCAGTTATTTTACTTTAGACAAGAATTTACCATACAAGATATTTTCTTATATAAAATCTCTTTTCTTTATAACCTTGTTTACATAGATAGGGCACATGGCTAATTTAACATGTGCCCAGGCTTTTTGTTTTTTTGTTTTTTTTTTTGAGATGGAGTCTCTCTCTGTCACCCAGAGGGGGGTACAGTGGTGCGATCTCGGCTCACTAGAACCTCCATCTCCCGGGTTCAAGCAATTCTCCTGCCTCAGCCTCCTGAGTAGAGGGAGTACAAGCACATGCCACTATGGCCAGCTGATTTTTTGTATTTTTATTAGAGATGGGGTTTCATCGTGTTAGCCAGAATGGTCTTGATCTCCTGACGTCATGATCCTCCTGACATCATGATCCACCTGCCTCAGCCTCCCAAAATTCTGGGATTACAGGCGTGAGCCCCTGCGCCCAACTGCATGTCCCCAGGCTTTATATAGAATCTAATGCTCCAAAATAAATTGAACAATTTTTGAAAGTTGAAGAAGCAGTTTATGACCTTAAAGCAAACCTAATATCTAACCTGTATAATTTAGACCAAATGTTTACATTTTGAAGATATTTTTATTTTACCAATAATGTTTAAAACTATCTTTATTTCCCAAAGATTACTTAAGTCACATGAACTAAATAAAAGATATTACACTTTTTACTTTTCTGACAAAATATTCTATTTGAGCTCTTATATTAAACCAATTAATTAAAGCTCTTTTATATTACACACACAACATACATAAATACATAGACAGAATAAGAAAGGAGTCATTCCCTAAGCTGGGAATTGAACCCTGAACCTGGGCTGCCATTGTGATGGTGGAGACCAAGAGAAAGTACTGCCACATGGTTACAAGGTGACATTCCCAAGGACATACAAGACAAGATAGAAACCTCATCCAGGTTTTTTTTTTTTTTTTTTTTTTCAGGGACTTGCAGCAAAGTTTGTAACTGACCAGTTTGCTGGGTCATCTTGAACAGTGGGCTTATGGGAGTACTAAGCCCACATTCTATCCTAAGGTACCACTCTTTTATGACAGAACAACACAAAAAAACACACAAAGCACACCATATTTATTATAGTTTAAGACTAGCCTCACAAATCCTTTTTCTCATTAATCAAAACTTTAAAGAGAAAATAAACACTGATTTTTGCCATTCATTCAACAGGTTTGCACAGAGAGAGAAAGTAAGGGGAAGGGAGAAAAGCATTGCTTACAGCAGAATGGGGGAAGTGAGGTGCTCAGAGAGGCCAGAGAAAGACCCACCCATTGCAGCTGGCACTGAATCAAAAGTTCAGGCAGCTGCTTGTCAGTCGAGAAGGGATCTTTTCCAGTACTCCCTTTGGCAATCAAGTTTCCCCTTTTATGGAGGAAAAAGTTCCCCATGTCCCATGATCCTTTACATGCCTAATTCTGTCACCCGCAGCTGTCACCAAAAAGTGCAAGGCAGATTAATACAAAGAGAATAGTGGTAAACATTCCTAGTGGCAAACCTGTTTTTAGCCAAAAGGGACTTTACTGACAGTGGCCTCTAACCCCTTACATCTTAGGAAGGACTCTAACCTTCCTAAGTTGGGCCTTGAACCCAAGTTCAGTCAAGCATCCTTACTTTTATTAAGAGGAGCCTTTTAACCTACTCTGTCTTAGGAGAGACTCTAACTCCCCTAAGTGGGCCTCTAACGCAATCCCATTCTTTACCCAGGTATATGTGCCCCACTTACCTAAAGTCAGCCAATCAATGCTGCAGTCTATTTCCTTTGGGTTGGGAGTCTCCTCAGTATTATCTCTTCATGGTCACTGGAAAGATGTTACAGGAAAGGGGTCCTGATCCAGACCACAAGAGAGGGTTCTTGGATCTCAGAGAAGAAAGAATTCAGGGTGAGTCTATAGAGTAAGTGAAAGCAAGTTTATTAGGAAAGTAAAGGAATAAAGAACGGCTACTCCATAGGCAGAGCAGCCATGAGGACGGCTGGTTGCCTGTTTTATGGTCATTTCTTGATTATATGCTAACCAAAGGGTCGATTATTCATGCCTCCTCTTTTTAGACCATATAGGGTAACTTCCTGATGTTGCCATGGCATTTGTAAACTGTCATGGCGCTGGTGGGAGTGTAGCAATGAGGACAACCAGAGGTCACTCTTGTCACCATCTTGGTTTTGGTGGCTTTTAGCTGACTTCTTTACTGCAACCTGTTTTATGAGCAAGATCTTTATGACCTGTATCTTGTGCCAACCTCCTATCTCATCCTGTGACTTAGAATGCCTTAACCATCTGGGAATGCAGCCCAGTAGGTCTCAGCCTCATTTGACATAGCCCTTATTTAAGATGGAGTTTCTCTGGTTCACACACCTCTGACAAAACCATGCACTTGATCTCTCAAGTTGCCTGCTTGGCCTTCTTCCAAGTGTACTTTACTTACTTTCATTCCTGCTTTAAAGATTTTGAATAAACTTTCATTCCTGCTCTAAAACTTGCCTTGTTCTCTCTTTCTGCCTTATGCTCCATTGGTCTAATTATTTCTTCTGAGGAGGCAAGAATTGAGGTTGCTGCAGACCTGTATGGATTCACTGCTAGAACAATACCAGATATATTTTATGCATGTGGAAAGATACATACTCTTATTTTGATGAATATTGTTTTCTGTGCATTGAAAGCTATTTGGATCAGAAGGCTCTTATTGAGATAATGCCCACGTATGTAGCACAAGGCTTCTTTGAAATCATTATTTTCTCATGTTTAGTTTCAGCTGTACAATACAATCTTTGTAGATCTTATCAACAAAAGTGATGAGTGAAGTTTGGCTCTTGATATAGAATAAGAGAGTTAAAGACACAGAGTCCTGCCATGTTCTGTGTCACAAATCTCTAAATCAGTTCCGATCTATATTTGTTGCCACCTCCCCTGGCATACAGCAGTAAAAACTGTGATCCTCTTTATCATTATCTTGGTTTTTTCTTTTGCTTGCATGGCTTGCATGGTTTCTAATGAGAATTCCACTGTAATTCTTATTCTGTTCCTCTATCAGTAAGATACCCTCCCTCCTTTTAATCATGTGACCTTGCTAAACTTACTAGTTCTAGTAGCTTTTTTGTTGATTCCTTCAGATTTTCTACAAGATCATTTTAATTTTCAAATTAAGGCAGTTTCTGCCTTTTTAATCTCTATACCTTTAATTTTTTTCCTTTACTTATTGCATTGGCTACAATTTAAATAGTGAACTGTAAACCAGTAGTAAAATTCAAAGGTTCTCCATAATCATCTGAACGGACTCTCTCCTTGGCTAGGGCACCCTGAAGTTTTACCTGAATGACTGTATCAGGCCATGGTGGGAAGTGGGGGTCGGACATGCCTCATTATACCTCTCTAGCATTAACATCAACACAGGCCTTAAGCCTGGTAAGAAACATTTACAGTCTATTCTCTCCAAAGCCTGCTACTTGGAGGCTTCATCTGTATGATAAACCTAGGTCCCCACGACACCCTAATGTAACCCAGACATTGCTTTCTACTGATAATAAGTCTTTCAACTAATTGCCATTCAAAATATGTTAAAATCTGCATATGACCTGGAAGCCCTCCTGCTTCGAGTTGCCCTGCCCTTCCAGATTGAACCAATGTAAATCTTACATGTATTGATTGATGTATTATATCTCCCTACAATGTATAAAAGCAAGCTGTAGCCCTACCACTTTGGGCATATGTCGTCAGGACCTCCTGAGGCTCTGTCACAGGCGCATCCTTAACCTTGGTAAAATAAACTTTCTAAATTGATTGACACTTGTTTCAGATACTTTTTGGTTTACAGAACAAAAGTGGTACAAACTAACATATTTGCCTTATTCCTGATTATGGATTCCAGATAAAAAATGATGCAATCATCGTTTCAATGATAAGTAATAAAAAGAAAAAAACATTAAAGACTTAAACGATAGACCTAAAACCATAAAAACCCTAGAAGAAAACCTAGGCAATACCATTCAGGACATAGGCATGGGCAAGGGCTTCATGTCTAAAACACCAAAAGCAATGGCAACAAAAGCCAAAATTGACAAATGGGATCTCATTAAACTAAAGAGCTTCTGCACAGTGAAAGAAACTACCATCAGAGTCAACAGACAACCTACAGAATGGGAGAAAATTTTTGGAATCTACTCATCTGACAAAGGGCTAATATCCAGAATCTACAATGAACTCAAATTTACAAGAAAAAAACAAACAACCCCATCAAAAAGTGGGCAAAGGATATGAACAGACACTTCTCAAAAGAAGACATTTATGCAGCCAAAAGACACATGAAAAAATGTTCATCATCACTGGCCATCAGAGAAATGCAAATCAAAACCACAATGAGATACCATCTCACACCAGTTAGAATGGCAATCATTAAAAAGTCAGGAAACAACAGGTGCTGGAGAGGATGTGGAGAAATAGGAACACTTTTACACTGTTGGTGGGACTGTAAACTAGTTCAACCATTGTGGAAGTCAGTGTGGCAATTCCTCAGGGTTCTAGAACTAGAATTACCATTTGACCCAGCCATCCCATTATTGGGTATATACCCAAAGGATTATAAATCATGCTGCTATAAAGACACATGCACACATATGTTTATTGCGGCACTATTCACAATAGCAAAGACTTGGAACCAATCCAAATGCCCAACAATGATAGACTGGATTAAGAAAATGTGGCATATATACACCATGGAATACTATGCAGCCATAAAAAATGATGAGTTCATGTCCTTTGTAGGGACATGGATGAAGCTGGAAACCATCATTCTCAGCAAACTATCACAAGGACAAAAAACCAAACACCACATGTTCGCACTCATAGGTGGGAATTGAACAATGAGATCACATGGACACAGGAAGGGGAACATCACACACCAGGGCCTGTCATGGGTCGGGGGGAGTGGGGAGGGATAGCATTAGGAGATATACCTAATGCTAAATGATGAGTTAATGGGTGCAGCACACCAACACGGCACATGTATACATATGTAACAAACCTGCACATTGGGCACATGTACCCTAAAACTTAAAGTATAATTAAAAAAAAAAGAAAAAAAGGAAAAAACATTCACTCATTCACTATTAAGTATAAGGTTAGCTCAGGGATTGATTTTGCAGATGCTCTGTATTAGAATAAGAAAGTTACTTTCTATTCATAGTTTTCTGAAAATTGTTTTCATTAAATCCTATTAAATCTTGTTAAGTGCATTGATTTGCATTTTTTGAGATGATCATATTATATCTTTATTTTATTAGTATGATACATAATATATATATATATACACATACACATATATATTTATAATTTAGTACAATTTAACTTAATTTCTTTTCTAGGGAATAGCCTCTTTTTTTTTTTTTTTTTTTTTTTTTTTTTGAGACAGAGTCTTGCTCTGTCGCCCAGGCTGGAGTGCAGTGGCGCTATCTAAGCTCACTGCAATCTCCGCCTCCCGGGTTCACGCCATTCTCCTGCCTCAGCCTCCCGAGTAGTTGGGACTACAGTTGCCCGCCACCACGCCTGGCTAATTTTTTTGTATTTTTAGTAGAGACGGGGTTTCGCCATGTTAGCCAGGATGGTCTTGATCTCCCGACCTCGTGATCCGCCCGCCTGGGCTTCTCAAAGTGCAGGGATTGCAGGCGTGAGCCACTGTGCCCGGCTGGTAATAGCATCTTAACTGATGTCTTGCTTCCATTCTTGTCCTCTCACAATATTAGATCTAATAATATCACTCTTTAATATACTCTGATGATTTGCTGCCTTAATTATAATAATATCCCAATTCTTTACCTACCCTAGAGGGCACCATATAATGAGATTCCTGCCTAAGTTCCTTACCTCTTTTTAATATTTTCTTTACCATGCTCCCTCTACTCCAGCTATTATGGACTTCTTGCCTTTAATAAAATATGCCAAGTTTATTCCTACCTCAGTAACATTTTACTCACTATTCTTGCCTGAAAGTCTTCTCTATCAAATTATCTATTGGTGGTTCTCTCACTTGTATTGTGCTCTTGTTCCATAAAAAACAATTCAGATTTTGTCACTCTTCTGTTTAAAATCTTACAATTGGTTGTTCATTACTAAAAGGATAAATTCAAAGCTCCAAATAGTATTTAGCACTTTAGAGATGATTTACCTGATAATCTTATTTAAATTAACATTTCTCCCTCTCAGCCTATCCTCATTATGCTCTATCCTCTTCCCAAGTTTAGTTCATAGCATTTGTCATTTCCTGACATTGTATTAAGTATTTATTTGCAAGAGAGTTTTCTTTCTCTTTCCTCTGCTAGAGTGTGAACTTCATGAAATTTGGAATTTGGTCTGTCTTGCTAATTGTTCTATTTCAAAGTGCCTAATTGAATACTCAACACATAAGTGTCTTCAATAAATATTTGTTGAGCACAGGAATGAATTATTACACACTGTGATGATTACTATAAGAAGAAATATAGGGAGCTCTGAGAGAAAATGGGGGGAGCTTCCCTAGATTATGTGCTCAAAAGAATCTGTTGATGAAATAATGTTTAATGTGAAGTAGCAATTCTAGCAAATAATACAGTGATCACTCTTCCAAACAGAGCAATAGCAAACACAAACACCATAAGGTAAAAATAATCTTGAGGAATTTGAGATAATTTAACGGGCTCATCCTACTGAAACAGAGGAAATGAGGGAGGGTGGAATGAAGTGAGATTGGAGAGGGAAATATAAAAAACATTATTCAGCTTCTTGCAGATCAGTTTAAGATCGTGAATATTATACTAATTACTTCTGAAACCTATTGAAAGGTTTTGAATGGAGACTAATTAGGAAATTTATTGCTTGAGAGATTAAGAGATGCAGCCAAAAATAGCATCTAGGGGCTGCATTGGTGGTCTTGCACCTTCCTGTTTTCCTTTGCCTCATGATTACTTAGATCCTTGAAATTTTTACTGCAGTTTGATACTGGATAAGCATATCGATCTGATATGACAACCCGATCATTGATATTATCTGAAAGGACAAAATCAAACATATAGCACTGGGATAAAGGAGCTGAAGGTTAAAAGTCTAGGAAAGAATAACTAGATAATCTGAAGAAAAGCTTTGATGCATCATGGAGTCAAGAAATAAAATTCTTGTATTTTTTTTCAAGACACTTTTTATTTTGCATTGCTTTCTTAGACTTACCGAAAATTTGGTAAGATAGTACAGAGAATTCCTAGATAGCCCTCACCCAGTTTCAGTTTCTCTAACGTTATCATCTTACATTACCCTGCTATATTTATCAAGATTAAGAAATCAACACTACTGTTAAAAATACTCCAGATTCTATTCAGACTTCATCAGTTTTTTCATTACTGATCTTTTTCTGTTCCAGGATCTGATCCAAGAAGCACATTGCATTTGGCTCACATGTCTCCTTAGTCTCATGTGGTCTGTGATTGTTTCTCAGGATTCCCTTATTTTCCATGATTTTTACAGTTTTGAGGAATACTCTAAAATACCCCAGGGATATTTTGTAGAATGTCCTTCAACTTGAGTTTGCTGGATGTTTTAGCTCATAATTAGATTGGGATTATGAATTTTTAGAAAGATTATCTAGAACAAATCTGAATGACTTATCACTGGTGACGTTAATTTTGATCACTTGGTGAAGACGTCATTTGTCATTTTTCTCCCCTGTAAAGTTACTATGTTTCCCTTTCCATACTCCACTCTTTGGAAGTGAGTCACTGATTTTAGTGAAGACTCACAAGGGAGAGGACTGAGTTCTACCTCCTTGAGTGGAGGGTATTTACCTATATTATCTTGTATTCTTTTTTAAGGAAGTTTTGTCAAAGAGAAGAGAGGTTTAAAAATGAAGGTTTGATCATATTCTACTGTAAAATTTATGCAGATAAAAAATTCAAAGGATTGTATTGATTTTGGCAAAATAAAAGTCAGGATTGTTTTAGGAGGAACAGCTTCAACTCAATTGTGAGGATGCCAGCCAGATGATTGGGAAGAAGGGTGAATGAGTGAAAAGAATTAAGACAGCATATGGGAAAACGTCTTTGAAGATGCTTAGCCTTAGAGTGGAGCTAGGAAAGGCAACTACAGCCAAGGGTTCATGTGAAAATTATATTGTTCTTTTTGTACATTTTGTTCTAGGAACATAATTTTCACTTTCAATCCAGGGTTTTAGTGAACTTAGTCATATGAGAATACAACTTTCAAAATTTTCACCCTAATTAAATTCAGTAAATTTAAATCACAAAGTTTATATATAAAAATCCAAAGTTGTTGTTATAGATTTTGTTTCTTTTTAACCATTTGTATGAAAAATATTTTTGTAAAATAAAAAGCAGATCCAGAAGAAAAACATTTGAAATCAAATGTGTATCAAACATGCCTACAATTTCTCAGCTAGTATATGTTAAATCTAAGTAGATGCCAAATCTAAGTAGATAATCTGACTCCTCTCTACATAGCCCTACTCGGTGTGTAATGCGTATTTAATAAATGCTGTTTGAACAATTGCAGGAGGCCTTGCAACTGTCCCTGACCAACTGATGTTTACAGGTTAATGTGAGCTTCAAACTTTTACAGTTACTATAGAGATCTTCGTACTTGCAACCATTGGCTGGAATAAAAACAAAGAAATTAGTCACTTCATTATCATTTTCTTTCATAACAGCAACACAAACAAAACATTCTATATGAACGGAGAGTAGGGAAGTGAGCAAACAAGTTGAGATTATTACACTAAGATGGCCATTTTATATCTTGAGGGACACATAAGGTCACTTAGGTAAACACGCTGATTCTTTTTTAAATTCGAGCTTTTGGAAATGTTTCTAAGATGAACTGACATATTTTCCTCACTCAACAAGTGAGCAGAGTAAAATTAATTTAAATGAATTTCTCTAGAACTGCAACATCCAAAATGGTAGATATTTGTCATGCGGTTGTTTAAACTTAAATTAATTAAAATTAAATAAAAATAAAATCAAATAAAATTAAAATTTCAGGTCTTTCCTCAACAACACCAGTTATATCAAGTGTTCAGTAGCCATGTGTCTAAGGGCTACTTTATAGGAATATTGAACATCTTCATCACTGTAGAAAGTTATATTGGACACAGTTGTTCTAGACTCTAATGCCCCCAGTCTTTCTCTCAGGTCTAGGTAATTATTATAGGAAGATGTAAATGTATAATGTAAAAGGTGGAGAGAATGTCATTATGATTATTGGACATTTCTACTTGGATGTCCTTCAGTGGCCACAAACTCAATAAATCTCAAACTAAATTCATCATCCTATCTACAAGCTTGACATTTCCTTATTATTTCCCAACAACTGTTCACTTCGTTCACCCAGTTTCAGAGAAATGACACTCCCAACTATTAAACAATTCAAGCCAGGATCCAGGAATCAACTGGAACTTGTTTCTATTTTTTGGTTTTTTTTTGTAATCAATACTCAACAATACCAGGTAACAACCGACTGTTCTATTTTCTTCCTATTTTTCATACCTGTCTATTTTTTCATTCATTTTGCCCTAATGCAGTGAAGATACCCATTTGTTTTTGAGTGTGTGTTTTTCCAACAGTCTCCTAGCTGACTTTCATCCAATTGCTTCTTCCTACTACTGTCGGGAGCTCTTTAGAAAACACAGTTCAGATCTTATCATTCTTCTGTTTAAAATCTTTCAGTTGGCTGATTATTACTAATAAGATAAATTTCAAGCTTCTTAGAAAACAGCATTTGGCAGTGCTGGAAATATTTGGATTTTCCTTCTTTAGTTGATTTATAGCTTTGGTATTATCAGTATTCTGAATTATAGCTACACAATTCAGTCAGAAAAAAAATGTTACAATTCAGTCAGGTGAATGCATTTGAAAGGTAAAAATCTCAATGAATGGGTCAACTGCATTGTCAGTAATAATTTTAGTAACATATCCTAGTTAAACAAAAATATCATCTCTTTGTACTTTTATTTATAAAAGCACAAAATGAAATTGTATGAGATATAAATTTATTTACTCCTTTTTGCTAAAATATTTTTGAGGCTTCTGCAAACTAATACTACATACAGATTTGATTTTGACTTTAAAAATGTATACAAAATTATTAGCAAGCAGAAGTGCAAGTGATTATTATACTAAACTTGATGATTGTAACTACACTATGGCAAAAATGAGGAAGTTAGTATGATAAGTTCATTAGCATATGAGGAATTGCAGTATTTGGAGTCCCTGTCTGGATTGAGCCATATTCTATGGTCTCATACTCTTAGATGTATATTTGTTTTCCTTTTTTAAAATAATGCTGTATTTTGTATAATGATATAAACTTTGATGAGAATAAACTTCCTATTTAATTACAATGTTATTTCCACAGACACATTTTCATATATGCCAATATGTAACATGGATGGTAAGTGTTTCAACAGGTTACATATGATAACAGGCCAAATTTTACATTGCAAATGATACATAGATACTGAACAGTGTAAAATTTTCACTTAAAAATGCTCTGTAAGGCTGGGTGTGATGGCTCACACCTGTAATCCCAGCACTTCGGGTGGCTGAGGTGGGCAGATCGCTTGATGGCCAGAAGTTCGAGACCAGTGTGGCCAACATGGCAAAATCCTGTCTCTACAAAAAGTACAAAAATTAATCAGGTGTGGTGGCACGTGCCTGTAGTCCCAGCTACTCAGGAGGCTGAGGCACAAGAATCACTTGATCCCTGCAAGCGGAGGTTGCAGTGAGCCGAGATGGCACCACTGCACTCCAGCCTGGGCGACAGAGCCAGACAGACTTTTTTTTCCTTTTTGTCCTTTGCATGAAGGCATTGCTTAAGTTGGTTGTCTTCAGATTTCCCAATTCTTAGAAGAAATGTCAGATCATTTTATTTTATTATCAAGTTAATCACTTCAAACTTACTGCATAGTCCATCGTCACAGTTATCTGGGCAACTGGCACAAGGTGCTCCTTGTTCATAAGGGACATATAGTCTATTAGCCCAATTACCACTGAAATTTGAAATAAAAATGTCAAATATTTTTCATTTTTATGTTTCGTTTATGTTCCAAGGTTAGTATCAGTCACCAAATATACATGAGTATTTATTAAATGTTTTTAATTATGTCAAATAATTAAAAATATAATCTCAGAGTATATTCAGACAATAATGCAAATTAAGAGAATAATTCACACATTCATTCACTTTCCTGACCATAATCTTGCAACCTGAGAAACTGAAATAGGATAATTAAAGTCTAAAGTTTTTAAAGTATATTTCAATGTGGCAACACACTTCATCTCCCAACAGACTTCGTCAAATTGCTAAGATGATGTACCACAAGGTGCTGGCAAGGGGTAAAACATATCCCCTAGAGAGATAAGAAAAGTTCCTGAAGCACAGAAGGTTGCAATATGAAAAATAACATTTAATGTTAAATGTAACTTATAATTAAAAATAAAAAAAAACCATAATTTCTACAATATGAGGTAGGGTAAGTACAGTTTCAGCGTAAATTTTGGCTTCTAGGTGGAGTGGTGATTTTCACATGGTTTTTGCTGTATGTTTGTGAAAGGGTATTGGGCTTGGAAAGGTTTGGGAATGTCTACAGGTGGTGTGTATGAGATGTTTATGTTTGCCAAGAATGGGAATGTTAGGGAAAAAAAGATTTAATTAATACTAATCTCCTCTGTGTGTTCATCTTACAGTGACTAGCCTGTACATCATTGATGATTATTTTCCTATCGGTAATTATCATCTGAAAATACAAGAAAGTCAAAGTCTTAATTGCACTAAGTAGGCTAACGGTCCAAGGCTATGTAGCTGAATCTCAGCCTTTCTTCACAGAATATAGCTGTTGGTGTGTGAGCACTTAAGAAAATGTGAAATAGATATCAAAGTGTTCTGGAAGTTCTCTTTTCCCTGTTTTCTCTCATTACTAATTCCAACTCTCACTTCAGATGCTGACTCCAGATGCTCTCCTCTAATGACCAGGCATTTGGAGGCAGTCTCCCAGGGTCTTTCAATTTTCTGTATTAACAATGATAATTCTTTGCTGAAAAATGACCTTACAGGTCATATTTCTCAGACTGGAATCCTACATCACCTGGGATATCTACAGCCTCAAAATAAGCCATGCAGAAAGCTGAGTTTGGGGAAAACCCCTCCCACTAGTGGTGAACAACTTCAAATATTAAAAGGAAATTAAAGCTAATAGATATGTTGTGAATATATCTTCAATATATCCACAGATTTTTTTTCGTGAGTAGGTCAACTATATTGCTTGAGAAAAAAAAGTGGACTTTCTGCAGAAAACCCGAGATAATTAAGAAATTAGGATCTTAATGGAAGGTTCCATGAAATTTTTTTTGTGGTAAATTCTAAGAAGCAAAAATTTAAGACATTATCTTTTCTTGGCTATTTGAAATATATTGGGGATCTCTTAAAAGTCTTTGAGGTCCAAGATTTAATCATTTCTTAATGTATAATGTGAAATTTTCTGATAAGCAGGAGTAAGAGCATTTGAGCAGAAAGGACTGATATTGCTAAAATGGGTCATTCCTTATTTGTTTGTTACCTTACTTTATCCCTGGACTAATTATCAAGCTTCCAGTTTCTCGTGTGTAAACTTAGCATGAACTGATAAAATTATATTTAGATAACTACACACTACATGTACTTATGAAGTAACCGTGAGCATAGCAAAAGGCAATTGAGAGAGGAGACAAATTATTTTAGGCATGAGGAAAGACAGCTCCCTGTTCAATAATACTTGGAACTGGAACTGAAAACTTTATCTTTCTGAGAAGTTGGTTGAATGTGTCTCAACTTTAGAAAACATTTCTAAAGATTAATCTCCTTCACCTTTACTTAAATATGCTTTTTAGTTTTTTTTTATTAAATGTTAAATTGTATTTAGCATTATTGACAATAAACGCTAAAATATATACTTACGCAGGACAATATTGGCAAACATAGTAGTATTTTAGAACTTTTTGATTGGGACAGTAGGCATTTCCACATCCAACGAGGTATGAAGAGTACCAAACAACCTATAAACCAATAAGTGAAGATATGAGAGCACATTAGAGAAGAAGGAAATACCAAAAAACAAATAGTAGGAAATACAAAATGGAGAAGAATGTTACCGACATATTTTGTTTTCATATACCTTATGGCTATATTTAGTTAAATTATTGAATCAAACTAAAACACTTTAAAATATTACATTTCCATGTACATTCCTTTTTGAGACCGTTGGACAAAGATTATGCTTCCCTACCATGATCCTGCAGTCTACTGAAAAATGACAGTTCACAGCTGAAATACTCACCAAATGCCAGACTATTCTATATTCACTTGAAATTTTCCCCAAATTCAACTTGGAATCAGTCAAAATTTGAAGAATCCTTTTTTTTTAGGGCACTTATAAAGGAGATGGTTTTTCATTTCTTCTCCTTACCTGTGTATAATGTCCAACCACTGCGTTGGGAGTCTTTGGCCCTACACCAAAGTCAAAATCATTGTACTCATCAAACCAGCTTTGGATTGCTTGTGACCATGAGCTGGAGGCACTTGACATGTAGAGATTCTCACCACATTTTAGACCTAAGAAGGAACAGACCACTCATGAGGAAAGCAATAAAGCATGCAATGGCAAAATACACACAAACACACACACACTACACACAGCAGAATCCCTGTTTTTTAAATACAGTCCCCAGTACCCACCGTTAATGAATATTGACTAATACATAAGGAGGGTGCCTCAGATCCTTATCAGCTATAAGCTGAATAGAAGCCAGATTTGCCCAATACTTGAGGCTGGTCTCAACATGCAAAACTTTGAGTAGATGGAGAAGCCTTTTTTCTTTAATGTCTGCTCTCCCTGGATTCATTTATTTACACATTGAATTCTTCACATGTGTGTGCCTTATGAGCTTTCAGCTTTGTAATGTGAGCTTGCTGAAGACAGAGATCAACTTAGTAATTCCTCTCCTGCTCTAGCCCATACTCACCAGAGATTTTCATATATAGGAATCTGAATAAGTGGTTAGAATTATTATTTTGTGTGAATTTTTTAAAAAGTCTTATGCTCAGTCTTTAAGAGCCCTAAACATGAAGCAAATGACACCATAAAAGACAATATTTTCACAGGTTACAGGCCTCCTCTTAGCAAATCAGAACATCACAGGCCACACTCTGGTCAAAAAATAAGGAAAAAAGTGCCTTGCAGCCCAGAAATACTTCAACACTTTTTCAAGCCCTAAAATTAATATTTATATTTGGATGGCTTAACAAGGAATGTCTACATGCTACTTAAAGAGAGTATAAACTACCTTTGTATAGCTCCTTTGAGAGGGAAAGAAAGAAGCTAAGATTTTAACAATAGATTGGGATTTTCAAGACCATTTCTTTCAATCTTCTCGTGACCATAGTTACCCCCTTTCATAAATTTATTATAGTTTTATATCAAAAATATAGATAACAGTGGCTGTCCTATTTTCAAAACAAGCCAGTTATTTACCACTTGTAAATTTGGTTTGCCTTTACCTATGTTATTTTTGATAATTTAATAAGTATTTTATCTGATAGCTCATCCATATGATATTTTATCTAATTGTTTTTATATTTATTGATGTATAGGTTATGTCTTGCAGGTCATTTTTTTAGTTTAATATAGTATGCATTGTAAACATCCAGAAAATATAAAAGACATGGCTTACTGTCATCAAAAATTCAAAAGAAAATAATAAAAGTTAATGCTAATGTTAAATACGTTTTTCATAAAATTCAGGAACAGTTTGACAAAATTTAAAATATTTTATAGAAAAAAAATTAAGTAGGTTTCAAAACACAAATAGGCTGCATATTGTCACTAAAAAGGGTACTGATTTAGAAGCCAGAAATTCTAATTCCAAATTTCCTATATATGACATTAATTGCCAATCATCATTTTCTTCCAGGCTGTTGATTTTCTAATCTCTGTAATTGGGAAAGAGATGATCTGTAACCTGCTTTACTCCTGAGCTGATTGAGAGGTAAAAATATGATACTGTGTGAGACGGTTTTTGTAAAATTTATTTAAAACAGTAAGCACAGATGGTGCTTCTCAGAGTTATCTCTACATGTAGATAGTCCATATTGAAAAAGGTAGCATTAGAAGCAATATTTATTTACAAACTTTTCTTAATGCAACATCATAACATGGTTTATTATTTTACTTGTTGATTTATTCAACAAATATTTCCTAATTTACATACTTGTCATTCGATCCTTTGGGTTACTGTGTCTGTAATTGCACTGGTTTGCCCACTTTTGGGCATTTGCTGCAGCCTCTTTGTTCCATTCCTGAAACAAGGACAGAAAAAAGATATCCACTTAATGTCTCAAACCTCAAAGGAGCATAAGCTTTATAATCAGGTTATAGGTTGATTTACATCATCATAAAATTTCTGTACAAGCATCTTCTGATTTTTATAGTAATCAAATGTATATATTTTTTATGTGCTTTTATCTGCTCCACAAAGAAATATAGGTAATATGCCTACCCTAAGTAATCAAAAAATCTAGGTTTATGGTCCAATTATTTATCACAGGACATCAGAAACACCTAAAGATTTTTTGTAATGGTCCTGTTCTAAATATTGATAAACATGTGGAGGTGCTGAGATTGCTTTTCCAACAATGAAGTAATTAGCTGGCTTACTTCATTTCCAGTTCTTTTTTTCTTTTTTTCCCCCTCACTGAATATGTTCGGGAGACATGTGGCCTTTGGTACAGGGCCCAGAAAAGTAGATTGTTATTTACCCTACATGGCATTTATCTTAAAAGGAAAAGGTCTTTCTGATCTCAGATTAGGACAGATAAGATAAGGAGCAGAAAAACATAATGGCTTTTCACCGTATGTCCAAAGATTAGGTTTTAATTCTGCCTCCATAATTTAAATAGCCCTATGAATTTGACGTTATGCAACCATTATAAAGAGAAGTTAAGAAATTCAGCTCTGCCCATTACACAGCTCAAATGAAACAAAAAAATACAGAGAGAACTTTGTAAACTTCAAAGTTATTAAGAGATATTAGTTGCCAGCCGCCTACTCCTTCCACAGCTTGTTCACACCCCTCTCCTTTGCAATATCACCTCTTACCATCTTCAGCATGTTTCTGGCAGGGGGAGATACTGCTCTCCTCAGTTCATTGTGCTTATTCACAATCTCCCTTTGCACTTGTGTTTGGGTGGTTAACAAAGCAGTAAAAGCGGGATCCTAAGGGAAAATAAAATTACAATTATCTTTTAACATTGTTGGAAATTGCACATAATAGTAACTATGTTAGTTCAAGGGAACAAAGACCATTTTTAAAAAGTGTTGCCAATGCTAGGTAAACATTGTCAATGACTGCCAAAGCTATGACTTTTTAATGGAAAAGTATTAGATGAAAGTTTTCAGAATGGGGATATAATTCATGGCATGACAAACTAAAATCTCCTCTGAGGCCACAAATACCAATTTCTGGGTTAAGAGAGGTCTTAATGTGATTTTTCTAAATATATGAGTGATAACATCTTATAGTGACAAGGGTACATGATAGTAATTATTAAGACATTCACACTCAGGCTGCAGCAAAGAAGTTGTAAAGATTGAGGCATATGATTTACCCTAAGACTCTAGGGGGAATTTCTGCCTGAAATGGTGTCTGGTATTTAGAAAAAATGCTTAGGCTCAGCCTAAGTGCATGTGTAACATGCAATACTCTAGTAAAAGAGTTTTATGTATTACGTAGCAAATATTATGGGATCACTCAAAAGATAGTTTTACCACATTAAAAAAAATCTCCAAGGCAATTTGCGGGGTGGAGCAAAGTCATTTAATTAATGAACTTCAATACCCTCATGTGGCTAGGGGCTACCATATTGATCACCACAGCTTTAAACATAATTATGTTAACTACCTTGAGCTACTAATGAGTACTTTATGATGTACCAGACACTCTAGACCTTTTCACTTTTGAAGATTGATCTAGTAGCTTGCCATCCCTCATGGTTGCCTGAATTTTTCTGAAGATTTTTGACTTCAACCATACCTTATCTTCATTTGCTGGAAAAGATGGAAGCAGCCCAGCAACCAGGAACAACAGCACTGGGAATAATGTCATTGCTGGGAAAACAAAACCGGTGGAACAGGGATCTGCATTAAAATGATTGGTACATGCTGTTGAGTAACATGGGGGTGGGAGAAACGTAATGACCTCCATTATCCCAAATTCATTATTAATGTAACAGGAGAAGACTTGTCACATGGAGCCAGCAGAATGACAGTGGATTCAGCTTTCAAAGTATGCATTCAACTGGGACTATAAAGAACAAACCAAAATTCCCGACTGAAGCCCTTGAAGCATGCCTATAAATGCTAAGGACTTTCTACCTCCTTCTTCCGCAGCTCCGCAGTCTTCTCTGTGTAACTACTGTCTTTAGGTTGTAGGAGTGGATTCTTCACAATAACAATTCAGTAGCTTCCAACTGTGTTTATTACTGGGATACTACTGCATTAGCCCTTGCTGATTTCCTTAAGTGCTGTCTACACTTTTATAAATATAACCTTATTAACATTTCTTCAAATTAAAAGTTAGCATGTGCCAGTTCTTTTCCGTCAGGGATCTGGCTCATATACTTGCCATTCTTCAAACCCTAGAAAGTCCTCTACGTATATGCTTTTTATGCATACCTTTAAACTACTCTCTTCAAGTTTACCCATGCAGCCAGCATCCTAACTCCTTTCCTCTCAAAACTTTCTTTAATACCATGCCTCAAATTTAAAAAGGCAACATTTTTTTCCTCTGGATCTTAAAACAAAAAGGTAATAATTTGATTCTCATGTTTAAGGGATTACTCACCCTATCTGTATTAATATCCTTAATATGTTCACATTCTTTATCTCACTAATTCAACTTCTTAGAATTCTACTGAAATTATAAACTATACTAAAAAGTTTTAAGCATAAAATTTTCATCATGTTATCATTTATAAGGGTTAAAACATTGTAAATTAATTACATGCCTAGCAATAGGGAGATATAATGTCTAAGTAAATGAGAATACATCCTCTTATGGCAGTATATTAGACATAAAAACCACTATACATTTATGGTTGTTTTGTAACCTCAGAGAAGAAGCTTATGCTTCAGTGTTAAGTTTAAAAACAAGAAAGCAGAACAAATAGTATATGGTAGATCCTTAGCCTTCTGATTTGGACTGAACGTTAATAGAAGTAGTGACTCATCCTACAAAAGCTCTTCCTTCTTAGTTATTCACTGGTTCCTCCTGAACCTCAGCTCTGGGGGCTGGGACTGGGTCTCCCTTAGACTATGAACTTAGCTAACACCAAATCCCCACAGAACTCCCAGAGGAAGAGCTTTCCACCCCAGACTGGTTCCCAGCACTAAATTCAGCTTTCCTTCTCCTAACCAGCACCTCTGCACCCCACCACCCCGCCCACTGTGAATCTAAGTATTGGGATGCAGCCTGATATACACTTGCAAAACCCATTTTCATGCTATTAAAGTCAATGTCACAAACCATCTCGTCCCAGCATCGCCCCACAATCACCCCGCAAATATGGGACTTTGCTGGTATCCATTTGTATCACTTTTTCAAAGATATTTCCAATGGAAGAACAAGAAAATGGGAGCAGGGGAGATATACTTTTGATAACAAGTGTGGTTTTATTTTGTCCAATGCATTAATAAATACACTTGAAGTCTGAAAAAAAAAAAGAATCCACGAAAAATGATGTTGCCAGAATGCAGATCTGGAGCTCCAGAAGATTTCAAACTACTAGTGTTATAGACCTTGAAACTCACTCAGAAATAACTTAACCTGGCCCTGCTTCCACTTCTAAATCAATATGTTGATGCCCTAACTCCTAGTGTGCTGTATTTAGAGATGGGCCCTCTAGTGCGTCTCCTGCAGAATTTGAGAGCAAAAGAGGAAAAACAGATTCTTATTTTCATTTGTAAGTCAAAGACAATTAGGTATTCTTCTTTCCTTTAGGAGACATTTATCAAGTTTTGTACACTCTATTCAGGATAACATGTTATAATATTGCTGCACATGATCAAGTGAACAAGACTTGGTTCTTGCCCTCAGAGTCCTGGTATATAATTACGGGAGCTCATCATTCAAGTACCCAGAGGGGGAGCTGGTTGAATTTTCTCATGTGTGCAAAAGAGGAGAGTAAAATTTTATTTCCTTTTACAGTGATCCATTCCAATGCTTTATGGAGAGAGATGGGGAAGAATCTAGCACAATTCAGGGCTCAGGGAGTAAACAACTTGAATGAGATAAATATGATAAAGATGTAACATCAGCTTTAAGACCAATAATGGTGACAGAGAGTCGCTGTAATATTTCACTCCATCCCCACCTCTCCTCCCAAGGGACTACTGTAAATAGCAGGTGCAAGTGGAAAATGATTTGTTTGCAATTCCATTTAGTAGTAGCGTCACATAGAAGGTACTAGAAAGAATGAAAAAAAAATAGCCTCTCCTGTCATTCACTTCCATGAAGCAATTTCTAAGTGTATTAGTTATACATTATTTTCTACTATTCCTTGGAAATAAGCAGTAGATTTCTCTTAATTCATTTCACTTGAAAGAGTTATTTTGCTATGTGTAAGTCACTGAGTCCTACCTTTTATATGGTTTTCTGTTCTGTTCTGGTTTTCCTTTTTCAAAGAAATTAATAATTTATCTCAAGTGTGATTAGAGAAAAACCAAGTCCCTGGATTTCAAAGATTTATGATTTCAAATAGTGATGGTTTGCTACTAATTCCAGATCTACAGCAGAGCAAATTGTGTCTTTCTGAAGCATAAATGTATATAATACAATTAAACTGTAACATACTGTGCCTTCTTCACACTGATGTTAGGACCACTGGTATGTTTGAAACACTCCCTTGGAAAAGGAAATCATTTTATCAAATGACCTGATATCACTGCATATTGACTGACAACATATATCTACAAAAACTTCTATAGGCATATCTGGCTTTAACAGTCCATTTTGTGGAAATAAGGATTTGCAAATTAGGAAGTAGGACAAATTTGCTTAGTGCTAAGAGAAGAATTAATCAAATGGTCTATTTATAAAGCAAGCCTTTGGCTTTTATTTCAGGCACAATATCAAAATAAGCAAGCTTCTTGCTGCCACCCCAAAATTAACTCTGAAAAAATTATAGAAGCAAGAGGGAAACAGGGATTCCAAGAAAATACTGAAAAGATAGTGAGAAAATCTGAGGAGAATAAAGTCTCTCATGACTTCTAGAATGTGTATATGGATGTGTGTGTGTGTGTGTGTGTGTGTGTGTGTGTGTGTGTTGTGTATAGTGAATGTGAAGGAGAGGGGAGTGCTGCATCCAACAGCAGTGGTTGGTCTAAAGTAATGCCTGTTAGTTTCTACTCTTGCCTCAAAACAATCGATTCCTCTTTATTTGCAAAATTCTGCAACAACAGAAAAACGCTTGCTCTAGTGCTATGTGTCAGCAAAGTAGCATCGAAGAACTGTAAGACCCATCCTGTGTGGGGCTGGATGCGGTGGCTAATGCCTGTAATCCCAGGACTTTGGGAGGCCGAGGTGAGCAGATCACGAGGTCAAGAGATCGAGACCATCCTGGCTAGCACGGTGAAACCCCATCTCTACTAAAAATACAAAAAATTAGCCGGGCATGGTGGCGAGAGCCTGTAGTCCCAGCTACTCGGGAGGCTGAGGCAGGAGAATGGCGTGAACTCGGGAGGCAGAGCTTGCAGTGAGCCGAGATCGCGCCACTGCCCTGGGCGACAGAGCGAGACTCCGTCTCAAAAAAAACAAAAAACAAAAAACAAACAAACAAAAAAAACAAACAAAAAAAAACCACCAAAAAAAAAAAAACAAAAAACGAAAGTACCATCCTGTGTGAAGAACCAATGATAATAAGGTCATGTGTGATAGCACTCTCCAGTGCTCTTATACTCACGCCTTCTTACTCCCTAGTGTTGTATGGTTCAAATTAGCTTGACTACTTCCTCCCAATGCTGTTTTTTCCTGAAATGTAATCTGAGGAGTGGATATAATTCCGGGATTGACTCATAAAAGACGTAAGAATAATAGTAAATAATACATAAGCCCACTTCATAAATGAATTGCAAGAATCCTAACAAAATATTAACTCATCAATTTCAAAAATATATTAAAAATATCATGACCAAGTAAAATTATATGAGGACTGCAAGAATAATTCAAAATTAGAAAATTCATTGGTAAAATTCATCACATTAACAGACTAAAGCAAAGTAATATGACAAAAAATACGTCATTAAATTCAACCCCTGTATGTAGTTTTTTTTTTTTTTTTTTTTTTTAAAGAAAAAATAGAAGAGATCATTACTTTGGTAGGAAGCATATACTGCAAATCTATACCCAATATAATGGTTATTGGAGAAATTCTAGGTGCATTTCATTTAATATTGGGAACAAGAAAAGAATGACTAACACTTTTATTTAACACAGTACTGGAGAGATCCTAATCAAAGCCATAAGAAAAGAAAGTATATACATATATATATATATAATATATACAAGTAATGTAATGTATACATTTTATGTTATATATAATAATATAAAATATATTATTATATATAAAATATTTGTAACTTTTGTAAGAGAAGACGTAAAATTGTTATTGTTTTCAAATGATAAGATCATCTATCTGGAGAACACACCAAAATTAACAATTTTGCTAGATGCACTATCAACTTACAAAAATACCATTTCTATTACTGGAAACACTCAACTAGAATATAAGATTTAAGAAACACTTATAACAGTTAAAAAAACTATACAGTATCTGGGAAACAACAAAACAAATTTAAAAATCCTTTTTGGAAAAAATCTTAAAACTTTAATAAAGAACATAGCAGAAGTTCTGAATAAATTGAGAGTTTTGTAATGCTTTTAAATGGTACATGTTAGCATAAAGATATCAATCCTAAACTAACCTGATAATTGTTTACTTTAATTCCAATACAAATTTTAAGTGGCTTATGAATAACTGAGTAAACTTTTAAAAGAAGAATTGCTTGGGCGCAGTGGCTCATGCCTGTAATCCTAGCACTTTGGGAGGCCAAGGAGGGTGGGTTGCCTGAGCTCAGGAGTTTGAGACCACCCTGCGTAACATGGTGAAACCTCGTCTCTACTAAAACTACAAAAGTTAGCCGGGCATGGTGGTGCATGTCTGTAATCCCAGCTACTGGGGAGGCTGAGGCAGGAGAATTGCTTGAAACTAGGAGGTGGAGGTTGCAGCGAGCCGAGAGTGTGCCACTGCACTCCAGCCTGGGCGACAGAGCAAGACTCCATCTCAAAAAAAAAAAAAAAAAAAAGGAAGAAGAAAAGAAAAAGAAAAAAAAGAAAGAATTAATTGGGTTATCTTTTCATATTAGTTATTAAGATAGACTTCAAACATTTGTTGACAAAAATTTAATATTATTGTAGGAACAGATAAATCAACTGGTGGAGGAAAATACAAAACTTAAGAGACAGACCAAACATCGTAACATTAAAAAGCAAAGGAGGAAGAACAGACTATAGAAATATTTTAAAGGATTACGTGGATTAGAAAAGATGTCAAAAGCATTAACACATGTGAGTATAATGTGTGCACTATAGGTATAGACACATTTATAAACTAGTCACAGCACAGAAAAGTATTTGATGCAATATTTTCTTACTTAAAATTTAATAGTTAATCTTTATTCTGATCACTTTCTTTCATCTTATTATGTATCTGTGATACAGAAAGCAGCCTATGCCAATATGCAAAGTTTGCAAAACTGCTAGACTTCATCAAGTAAGAAATTCGTAAAGATATCCAAATAAGAATAGCTGTCTTGCATTTCTTGAGAAGCACTTTTTTTTCAAGGATGAATTCCCTCCCTTTTACTTGAATTCAATAAATAACGTAACTGAAATTCATAGCAATTATCAGATTTACATTACTTGAGAATTCTGACACTCTTCCTCCCAATTCATCCCTGCCTGTTACAAATCAGAAGCCCCAATTTACCTCATAACTTATCAATGTAGGGTAACTCCCAGGCTTGAAACTTGTCATCAATTTAATTTCTTTTGATCCACTTTCAGAGGTCTTAGTCATACAGGCAGACATTCTAGATTTGGTTTTAACTAGCAGAAGAGGCAACACCGGATCTTCTATGGCTATTGCAAATACTCCCAGAGTTTCCTGGATAGCATTTAGCCACAGGGAAGAAAAGCATTTTACTTTAAAATCTTCTGTCTAGTGGTAAATAACCCCTTTCATGTTGTCATTAGGTAGTTCTGTGGTCTCCTACTATCTGACTCTTCAGAATCACTTCTAATATGCTACGGAAGATAAAGCCGTATGTGGAAATTGCTTCCTTAGATGAAATATGCACGATAGATATTATATTTAAATTACCTACATAAACATGACTGAGTAGACTGACTTTTGACTGAAAAACTTCTAAAAGCCTTTTTTTTTTGTTTTTGATCTGAGTGCATTTCATGAGGTAAATTGCATTTTATGTTGATGGTCTTTAATAAAATACTTTTTAATCTTGAGATCAGTGCTATAATTTTGTTTTGACCAATTTAAAACTTTTGCTATGGCATCCCATATAGCTGTATGTTTTAATATTAGTAAAAGTTACTGATGTGAAAGTATGCACACACATATATTCATAGTTTTTCATTTTTCTATTAAAAATAGTTCTAGTACAATTGTTTCCACAAGTCATAGACATGGGAATTAGTTATATTACTTTAGAATGAAAGGTAAAAATTTATTTAAATTTCAAACTGGATAAAAGTGCTTTTGGAATAATAAAGCTGTCTATGTATTAGCTTCTCAGCTTAAAATGAATATATTAAGATAATTACTCTCATTAAAAGTTATCAATAAACTTTGGAAAATTGTAGATAAAATATACGAATATATCACTTTATCATTGATAAGGTATAAATGTGTTGTTCACCTTGAAATAAATAATGTTCACCTTGAAATAAAGGAGTTATCACTTACCAGTGGTTTCCAGAGCAGGATGAAGTATTTGTTTCATCTATTGACAGAAGGAAGGTGCAGAGAGAGAAGGTTAGAGCCGTATATATGAAACACCTATTTCCTGTTTTGGCAAATTCTGGTTGTGCAAGTAACTCTAGATCAACAAGGCCTGAAACAGGATTTGTCATACCAGTAGTCTCAAATTTCATTGCTGGTTTTCTAGTCATGATTTTGAAATTATTTGGTGATTCCTCAAATGGCTTTTAAAAATAAATTGCTATATCAAGTTTTGTAATTGTGCATTTATTCTTTGAAGTTCATATATTACAATTTATCCATGTTTTTGCCAGTCAATAGTTTGAAAATTCTTAGCCCAATTATTAGCATCACAACATTAGAGTTTTCAGAATTATTTCTGTTGGATTGAAATTAAGCTCATAATTTTTATGAACTCTAGAGAACACAATGTTTTTTACAGCTATCTAAAATGTTTATTAATAATCTATTGGACATTACTGTTTTGGATAATAATTTTATCTTTAATGTTTGTAAATACAAGGCCACAGTGACTTTCAGAACTCAATGGCCAAACACACCATAACTCATTGGTATTTCTATATTCAAAGATGTGCTGTATTTACTTGTATTTTCTGGTTGTATAAAATTAAAGATAATATTGATCTCCAAGCTAAATTATCATTATTTGGTTCTGTTCATCTATGGAAGATGTCAATCATTCCAGGCTTGTTTCCATAGCACAATAATGAAGTGGGGTGGACTAACAATTTCAGATTTCCTCTGATTCTAAAATACAATAATCTTAAATATTGAGTTTATATAAATAAAGAAGTATAAATTAATAAATCACAAGTAGCATATACATAGCACGCAGACATTTCTGCATGCTCATATTGGCATATAGATTGCACCTTGTGGTGCATAATTCAATAGTTTCTGTTCATTTTCATTTTTATATTTAGCTTTATTGATCAATGTGACAAAATGTATAATCACAGATCAATGTCTACACAATAGGCACATTTTAAAATTATAGTTAATTTTGAGTTCAAGAATTGGATACTTCTAAATGTCTGTTATAAGAGAGTTGAGAACTCAGAAACTCAGGTCAGATTTTACCATTAAAAAATGGTTAACCATTTGCTGCCATGTCTCCAAGTAACTCCTAGAATCTGTTTACTTTATGAACATGTGAAGTGGAAGCTCTCAATAAACCAAATCAGCTATGTGGAAAAAATCACCATGGAACAACCTTCTACACAATCCTCTTTCTGTGGCAAAATGTATTTTGTGGGGAAGGACCAGACCCAGAAGCATCCACAGCCCATTCTCTTCTCTACTTAGTGGTGTAGAATGTTGTTAAAAGCTTGATATTTCTGTTTTAATGGAAATGGGCTAAATTTCTATACCAATGTGTATTGGGAAATTTTTATATTTTATTATTTTATTTTATATCATATTTTATTTTATTTGAAGCAGGATCTCACTCTATCATCCAAACTGGAGTGCAGTGGTTAGATCAGAACTCATTGTAGCCTTGAATTTCTGGGCTCAAGGGATCTCCTATTTCAGCTTCCCAAGGAGCTGAGACCATGGTGTGCACTACTATACACAGCTAATTTTTTAAATTTTTTTGTAGAGACAGAGTCTTGCTATGTTGCCCAGCTAGTGTCGAATTTCTGGCTTCAAGCAATCCTCCTGTCTTGGCCTCCCAAAGTTCTGGACTTACAGGCATGAGCCACAGCACCTACTTTATTAGGAAATTATTATTCTGATTGTAAATTTTCATATTTATCATAAATGGGAATAATATTAATTGTATTTAATTGTGATACATAATATATGTAAGCTGCCTGCCATGTAGTAAGTATTTCCAGTGTTAATTCTCTCCCACTTTATGCACTTTTCTTCTGTATCTAGACAAACCTACCCCTAATATTTGTAAGCTGTGGGATTGCACTTGAGTTTTAGGACATGGTTTGACTTACTAAGCTATAGGCAGTTCTGTGAGAAATTACCATAAGTAGACACAAAACAGTATAAAAAGGAAAAATATTTTTGCCTCATTATTCAAACTTGATAGTTTTTCTCTAACTTTTTACTGAGTTATGACTAAATGACCACTAGATGCACCATGATGTAGAAGGCATTTTGCTTGTCAAATATTGGTACATTTATTATTAAGCTAAATAAGTATATGTGGTCTTTTTGGGTCACAAAATACCATACACACGTTGGACTGACAGACTGACTTCAATCTGACCTTAAGTGTCCAAAATGGCTGTTTCTAGTCACCTTTGTTCTCTCATTTCCCATGATTAGGTTGTCTTTTCTGTATTTACGTGTCCCAAGGTCATTGCTGGCCCTTCATGATCCATGTCTCCCAATTTTAGCAGTGAGTGTCTTCCAGCTCTTATTTGGATATCTAAGTTCCATCTTAAAAGAGCAAATAGTTTGTTCCTGTATATACATTTTAATCTATTCCCACTATTCTATTGAAACTTATCAATGAGTCTCTTAGCGACTGTTGCTATTAATCATTACATTTTGTTTTAGGAATGCTCCTTTTCTTACTCTTTAAAATTATTCTTCTATTCCTATGCTTTGACTAGTACAGTGTAACCAGATTGTCTATAATATGAATAAATAAAGCACAGCTTCCATCTCTTCCTAGTCAGCCCTTCTCTCATCTTAGATACAACAACATCTGAATGCTGCCTTCCTGGGATTTCTACACTGACCACCCAAAACTGACTAGTTATTACAAGGGCAACTGGGATCCCTGCCTTACAGCTGAACTCTTGACCCAGCTTTTTATGACTTTTACTTCCCCATTATTACCAACTACCTATAGTTTACTGATTACAGTCTTTGGAAATTGCCAGGTCTGAGAAATCCTTTCTGAGCTTCAGTTTTCTCTTCTCTGAAATGTGAATTTTCATATCATACGTTGGTTTTAATGACTGAAAAGCATAATTTGTGTATAAAAATGTACTGAATACATAATTAAACTATTAGTGCGATGCTTGGCATGTGACACTCAATAAATGGAATTATTAACATTTGTATTATTATCCCTTCCAAAGCCTGGTATTTCCTGAGTACATAAAAGTCTTCCACGAATGCATTTTGTTTGATTGAACTGCCAATTCAGGAGTCTTTATAAGAAGTCTTTCTTGTTTTAGGTATTTAGGAAACAATCATAGTTTAACCAGAAATTCAAGTGTTTAAGGTGCAGTTCTATCAAAGCCTGTCAGGGTGACTTTAACAAAATGATTGAGCATCTCTCATTTTCTGTATCCTCACCAATAAATTAAGGAGCACAGACTCAGGTGCATTTTAGAATTAGAATTAATTTTACTCTGCTCTCATTAATAAATAGTAGATTTATAAATCAGTTGTTGTTTTGTTGAATTATCCTTTAATATAATGGTTTAATTTAGTGACTTATTAATTTCCAAGAAAGGTATAGTCTGTGTGTCAATTTATTTGCATTTTTCTCTTGCTTCCTCAGTCCCTTTGGTTAATATCCTGATTACTTTTTGTCACTCAATGCCTAATTATATGAGTGAAATATCAGAATTATAAATTATTTATGTGTTTCACCATTCAGTGTATTATTTATTACACACACACAAACACACATGCACACACCCATATAAGATCACACGATCTTAGGTCAGGTTTGCAAGAAATACACTGAGACACAAATTACATTGGCTCTGATTTATTGAGGAAGTACATTGCAGCAGAAAGGAAAAGAGTGAAGCAGGTCAGGGGAGGACAAAGAGCTAAAGAAGAATGTGTTCTCAGGTAAAATCTAGTCTTCCCTGATTAATAGAGGCAGTGCTGCAGACAGCCTTTTTAAACCTATGAACAGTCAGTCATTAGTAACAGTGGGGAGATGACAAGGTGGTTCTCCTCTGCCAAAGGCAATTCTCTTGAGAGGGGGCAGATGTGGGCACAGTAGCTAATTCTCACAACATCTGGGGGACAGAAGCATTGCCTCTGGGATGGGATCTCTGTGCAATACCTAAACAGCATCCACCATAATATGGGATAATATTTGCATTATTACAATAGTTGCATATTATAAAGATGATGTAAAAAACAGTGAAGGTGCTTATCATGATCACATGATTCATTTATCTCATTTTAAAAGTGAAGGAGCAGACAAAATAACTTAAAAAGTCCTTCCATATTTAAAATTATGTATGTCTCTGTTTAAGGAAAAGGGAAAACAAGGCTCTGTCTTGCTTCTTTCACTAATTGGATGTATTTGTTTGCTAAGTCCTTGACTCTTGCTAGTCTTGGTTTTAATCCAATTCTGTTTTCTTGCCTGTAAAATAGAGACAAAAATAATACCTAGTGTTGTGAGGATCAAAATGTTGGTGTGTAGAAAACATTTTTTGACTGTACTAACCTGAGTGCTAAGAGAACTGAAAAATTCTGTCCCTGAGTTACTGAAGCAGTAAGACTAGCATGTGAAAAAAAAAAACTGTAGAAAAACATATGAATCCACGTGATTGGTGATAATATCTGTATTGCCCATTGTAATGGCTGTAAGAATTCAAGTAGAGGAATACACTTTATGGGTAAATAAAAGATGTTTATATACCAAAAATTGGAGATGAGTTGGTATTAATGGATGAACAAACTTTGGGCCCGAATGAAGTTAACAAATCCAACTTTGATTTTTTTCAATGTACATATTTATTTTTAAAATTGACATACAAAATCGTATGTATTTATAATGAACAACATGTCTTGTAGTAGAGTAAGTCCTCATACATCACAAATAGGTCCTGGAAAATGATGCATAAAAACAGCATTTTTTTCTCATTGACATTATAATGATATGATGTTGAAAAAAACGATGTTATTAAAAGATGTGCTGTATGTTGTTTCACTTGAAGTCGCAGTTTCCAAAAATGTATTGACTGTGTTAAATGAGGACTTACTGTATAAATACATTGTGGAATGGTTAAATCTAGATAACTAACAAATGCGTTACTTTTCTTAGTTTTTATTTTTGTGGTGAGAACACTTAACATCCACTCTTCTAGCATCTTTTCAAGAATATAATATTTGCCATTAACTGTAATTGCTACGCTGTAAAATAGATCTCTTGAACTTACTCCCCTCCAAACTGTACATGTGTGTTCTTTAACCAACATCTCAACATGCCTTCTTACGTCCCACCCATAAGCTCTAATGCCCAGCATTCTACTGTTTTCTTGACATGAAGTTTTTTAGATTCCACATATGAGTTAGATCATACAGCATTTGTCCTTTGTGTCTAGCTTATTTCACTTAACATAATATCCTCCAGATTCACTCATGTTGTCACAAATGGCAGGATTTTCTTATTTTATTTTTATGACCAAATAGTATTCCATTGTGTGTGTATGTGTGTGTGTACGTGACATATATATATCACACATAAAATGTGATATATATATATATCCCACTTTCTTTATCCATATCCATAAGGTTGCTTCCTTATCATGGCTATTGTGAATAGTGCTTCAATAAACATGGGAGTGCAGATATCTCTTCAACATACTAATTTCACTTCCTTTGGATATAGATCCAATAGGGGCATTATCAGATAATATGGTAGTTCTATTTTTAATTTTTATAGGAATCTCCATAATGTTTTTCATAATAGCTGTACTAATTTAAATTCCTACCAACCAACACAACTTGGTTGGTAGTAATAGAGTCCTAGAGAGGAGTCTATTATTAACAGAAAGGTTACTCTTTGTTTTCAGTTTCTTTACAGTTATACTTGGAAGAGAGGCAGTCTCTGGTACATGGAGGCTTATATTAGATATTTGCTAATGATAAGTCAGTTAAGATGAAAAAATGTGACACTGCATACATAATTAATTCCAATGTATCTTAAGCTAGTAGAAACAGCATATCTCTTGGCTTATACTCTATTTTAAATAATTCTGTTTATATGTTTATTTGATATAATCAACCAGTCTGTGACAATTTTCCTCTTCAATAAAATGATTTTTAAACTTTTATTTTAGATTCAGGGGTACATGTACTTTTGGTGTCTTCATCATGAAATCTCTACCAGTTTCTATGTCCAGAGTGGTATTGCCTAGGTTATCTTCCAGGGTTTTTGTAGATTTGGGTTTTACATTTAAGTCTTTAATCTGTCTTGAATTGATTTTTTGTATATGGTGTAAGGAAGGGGTCTGGTTTCAATCATCTGTCTATGGCTAACCAGTTATCCCAGCACCATTTATTAAATAAGGAGTCCTTTTCCCATTGCTTGTTTGCTCAGCTTTGTTGAACATCATATGGTGGTAGGTGTGGCCTTGCTTTTGGATTCTCTATTCTGTTCCATTGATCTATGTATCTGTTTTTGTACCAGTGTCATTGTGTTTTGGTTACTGTAGCCCTGTAGTATGGTTTAAGATGGGGTAGTCTGATACTTCTAGCTTTGTTCTTTTTGCTTAGGATTACCTTGGCTATTTGGACTCTCTTTTGGTTCTGTATAAATTTTAAAATAGTTTTTTCTAGTTCTGTGAAGAATGTCATTGTTAGTTTGATAGGAATTGCATTGAATCTGTAAATTGTTTTGGGCAGTATGGCTATTTTTATTATATTGATTCTTCCCACCCATAAGCATAGGATGTTTATCCATTTGTTTGTGTCATCTCTGATTTCTTTGAACAATGTTTTGTAACTCTCCTTGTAGAGATCTTTCACCTTCCTGGTTAGCTGTAATCCTAAATATTTTATTCTTTTTATGGCAATTGTGAATAGGGTTGCGTTTCTGATTTGGTTCTCAGCTCGACTCTCGTTTGTGTATAGTAATGCTAGTGATTTTTGTACATTGATTTTTGTATCCTGAAACTTTCCTGAAGTTGCTTATCAGCAGAAAGAGCACTTGGGCCAAGACTATGGGGTTCTCTAGATATAGAATCATATCGTCTGCAAAGAGGGATAGTTTGACTTCCTCTCTTCCTATCTGGATGCGATTTATTTCTTTCTCTTGCCTGATTGCTCTGGCCAAGATTTCCAATACTATGTCAAATAAGAGTGTTGAGAGAGGGTATCCTTGTCTCTTTCTGGTTTCCAAGGGGAATGTTTCCAGATGTGGCCCATTCAGTATAATGCTGGCTGTGGATTTATTATAGATGGGCTCATTATTTTTAGGTATTTTCCTTCAATACCTAGTTTATTGAGAGTTTTTAACATGAAGAGATATTGAATTTTATCAAAAACCTTTTCTGCATCTATTGAGATAATCATATGTTTTCTGTCTTTAGTTCTGCTTATGTGATTAATCACATTTATTGATTTGCATATGTTGAGCCCATCTTGCATCCCAGTGATAAAGCATACTTGATTGTAATGGATTAGCTTTTTGACGTGCCACTGGATTCAGTTTGCAAGTATTTTATTTATTTATTTTTTATTTATTTATTTTTTATTTTTTTGAGTATCTCACTCTGTCACCCAGGCTGGAATGCAATGATGCAATCTCAGTTCACTGCAACCTCCACCTTCCAGGTTCAAGCGATTCTCCTGCCTCAGCCTCCTGAGTAGCTGGGATTACAGGTGTGCACCACCATGCCCAGCTAATTTTTGTACTTTTAGTAGACATGGGGTTTCACCATGTTGGTCAGACTGGTCTCAAACTCCAGACCTTGTGATCTGCCTGCCTCGGCCTCCCAAAGTGCTGGGATTACAGGCATGAGCCACCGTGCCTGGCCACAAGTATTTCATTGAGGATTTTTGCATCAATATTCATCATAGATTGAATATTTTTCTTTGTTGGGTCTCTGCCAGGTTTTGATATCAGGATGATGCTGGCCTCATATAGTGAGTTGAAGAGGTGTCTCTCCTCTTCAACTCATTGTAATAGTTTCAGTGGTAAAAATATCAGTTCTTCTTTGTAAATCTGGTAGAAATTAGCTATGAATCTCTCTGGTCCTGGCTTTTTTATCATTGGTAGGCTATTTATAACTGATTCAATTTCAGAGCTCATTACTGGTCTGTTCAGGGAATCAATTTCTTCCTGGATCAGTCTTGGGAGGGTGTATTTGTCTAGGAATTTATCCATCCCTTTTAGATTTTAGATCCCTTTTAGATTTCCTGGTGTGTGCATAGAGATGTTCATATTAGTCTCTGATGGTCATTTGTATTTCTGTGGGGTCAGTGTTAACATCCGTTTTGTCATCTCTAATGGTGCTTTTGTGGATCTTCCTTCTTTTTTCTTTGTTAGTCTAACTAGAAGCCTGTCTATTTTATTAATTTTTTCAAAGACCCAACTTCTGGATTGTTGATCTTTTGAATAGTTTTCTGTGTCTCAATCTCATTCAGTCCAGCTCTGATTTTGGTTATTTCTTGTCTTCTACTAGCTTGGTGTTTGGTTTGCTCTTCATCCTGTGGTTCTTTTGGTTGTCATGTTAGGTTGTTAAATTGAGAGCTTTCTAACTTTTTGATGTGGACATTTAGTGTTATAAATATCCCTCCTAATACTTCCTTGGGGTTTGTCCCAGAGATTCTAGTATGCTGTGTCTTTGTTCTCATTATTTTCAAAGAACTTCTTGATTTGTGCCTTAATTTCATTATTCATCCAAGAGTAATTCAAGAGCAGGTTGTTTAATTTCCATGTAATTGCATCTTGTTTGGTGATTTTTCTTAGTCTTGATTTCTATTTTTATTGTACTGTGGTCTAAGAGTCTTTGGTATAATTTTGATTGTTTTGTATTTGCTGAGGATTGTTTTATGTATTATTGTGTGGTGAATTTTAGAGTATGTGCATTATGGTGATGAGAAAAATGTATATTCTGTTGTTTTTGGGTGCAGTGTTTTTTAAAGGTTCAGCAGATTCATTTGGTCCAATGTTGAGTTCAGGTCCTGAATATTGTCATTAATTTTCTGCCTCAATTATCTGTCTAATACTGTCTGTGGGGTGTTAACGTCTCCCACCATTATTGTGTGGAAGTCTAAGTCTCTTTTTAAGTCTTCAGAAACTTGCTTTATGAATTTGGGTCCTCCCGTGTTGATGCGTATACATTTTGGACAGTTAGCTCTTCTTGTTCAATTGAACACTTTACCATCATATAATGCCTTTTTTGTCTCTTTAAATATTTGTTGGTTTAAAGTATGTATTGCCTGAAATTAGGATTGCAACTCTTGCTTTTTTTCTGATTTTCATTTGCTTGGTAGATTTTCCTCCATCCCTTTATTTTCAGATGATTGTCATTGCATGTGAGATGGGTCTCTTGAAGACAGTATATCACTGGGTCCTGCTTTTTTTTATCCAGCTTCCACTCTGTGCCTTTTAAATGGGAACACTTAGCCTGTTTACATTCCATGTTAGTATTGGTATGTGTAAATTTGATCTTGTCATTGTGTTGTTAGCTCATTATTATGCCAGCTTGTTTGTGTGGCTGCTTTATAGTGTCACTGATCTATGTACTTAAGTGTGTTTTTGTTTTGTCTAGTAACCATATTTCCTTTCCTTATTTAGTGCTTTTTTCAAGATACAGTGTAAGGCAGATCTGGTGGCAACAAACTCCCTCAGTGTTTGCTTATCTGAAAAGGATCATTTCTCCTTTGTTTAGGAAGCATAATTTGGCTGGATATAAAATTCTTGGTTGAAATTTTTTTCTTTAAGAATGTTGAGGCTGGGCATGGCGGCTCATGCCTGTAATCCCAGCACTTTGGGAGGCCGAGGTGGGCAGATCACGAGGGCAAGAAATCAAGACCATTCTGGCCAACATGGTGAAACCCTGTCTCTACTAAAAATGCAAAAAATAGCTGGGTGTGGTGGTGTGCACCTGTAGTCTCAGCTACCTGGGTTGCTGAGGCAGAAGAGTCACTTGAATCAGGGAGGTGGAAGTTGCAGTGAGCCGAGATCATACCACTGCACTCCAGCCTTTTGACAGAGTGAGACTCCTTCAAAAAAAAAATGTTGAATATATGCTCCTAATCTCTTCTGGCTTATAGGGTTTCTTCTGAGAGGTCTGCTGTTAGCCTGGTTGGGCTTCCTTTGTAGGTGACCTGCCGTTTCTCTCTAGCTGCCTTTAATATCCCTTCTTTCATTTCGGCCTTGGAGACTCTGACGATTATGTGTCTTGGGGATTATCTTCTCGTGTAGAATCTTGCAGGAGTCCTCTGTATTTCCTGAATTTGACTGTTGCCCTCTCTATTGGGGTTGGGGAAGTTATCAAGGACGAGGTCCTGAAATACATTTTACAAGTTGTTTGCTTTCTCCCGTTGCTTTCAGGGATGCCAGTGATTCATATATTTTGCCTTTTTACATAATATTGTACTTCTCAGAGGTTTTGTTTATTCCTTTTCATTTTTTTCTTTATTTTTATCTGACTGTCATATTTCAAAGAGCCTGTCTTCATGTTTCAAGATTCTTTCCTCAGCTTGGTCTATTCAGCTGTTAATATTGTGAGTGTATTGTGAAAGTCTTCTAGTGTGTTTTTCACATGCCAGTCTGGTCTCAAACTCCTGACCTCAGGTGATCCGCCTGCCTCAACCTCCCAAAGTGCTGGGATTATAGGCATAAGCCACCACACCCAGACCTTGGTTTGCTTTTATTGGATTTTGCTGTTCTTCTGAGTTTTGGTGATCTTCACTTCCAGCCGTATTTTAAATTTTATTTCTGTCCTTTCAGCCAAATCAGTCTGATTAAGAACCCCTGTTGGAGAACTAGTGTGATAGTTTGGAGGACATAACATACTCTGGCCTGGCTGGGAGCAGTGGCTCATGCCTGCAATCCTAGCACTTTGGGAGGCTGAGGCAGGTGGGTCACCTGAGGTCGAGAGTTTGAGACCAGCCTGACCAACATGGTGAAACCCCGTCTCTACTAAAAATACAAAAATTAGCCAGATGCGCTGGCACATGCCTGTAGTCTTAGCTACTTGGGAGGCTGAGACAGGAGAATTGCTTGAACCCAGAAGGCAGAGGTTGCAGTGAGCCAAGATTATGCCACTGCACTCCAGCCTGGATGATGGAGGGAGACTCCATCTCAAAAATAAATAAATAAATATATAAAATAACTATTTTTGGGTTAAAAAACTAAGATTATCCCCAAGACACATAATCATCAGAGTATATATATATGTGTGTGTGTGTGTGTGTGTGTGTGTGTGTGTGTGTGTGTGTGTGTGTGTGTGTATGGCCTTTTGAGTTGCCAGAATTCTTGCATTGTTTCTTTCTCATATCTGTGTATGATGGGTGTTCCTTTAATTGTGGTGTAGATTGAGTACAGTCTATAGCCTCCTTTGCTGGGTGTTTTCACAGGGCTAAGGCTTTGTGCAGAGTCTTTTTTAATTTGCTGCTGACTTATTTCTTGTCTTTGGTTTCACAGGGGGTTATGTTAGCAAGGTATTTTTGGTGTCAAAGCTTTGGGATGTGATCCAGTAGGTGGCTCTTAGGCATTTTGGTCAATAGGCAGGCTCTTGCTCAGTCATGTGGCTGTCTTATATTTTCTCACAGTTGCAGCTGCCTCTCAGTACTCAATACTCTGAAACTGTGGACCCTTCTTTCACTTGAGTGTTGGTTGTAGATCATAGCTTGGTACTCCCAGACTGCCCACCACAGCTCTGGGGAGATCTCAGGGTTTATGTTTCCTCCCTAACTTGAAGGCAACAGAGGAAGTGACCTACCTTAGCAGTGGTTGAAGACGAGGTCTCTTACTTGTCTTCTGGGGGCTCTGCCCCAGAGAGATGCAGATCATCAATTGATCAGTGTAATCAGCTCAGGATGGGGGTCGGTGTGGTAGGCTCAAGCCAGGAGTTCTGTGCCTGATGATAAGCACTGTGGGTGGGTGAATGGGACCTGGTCTTCTTTCCTCTGGGTTGACTGCTGCTTGTTGGAGCTGTGGATAAGGCACTTAGGTTCTTTTCTCCTTCGTTAGTATGGGAAGTACCACTGCTACTCTCTCTGCAGTGGCAGAGAGGCTTTCGGTTGCCCCTGGGGGCTTCACCTCTGAGAAACATGAAGCCACTGTTGCTGGAAGTTTCAGCCAGGGCAGTTGTGTGGATGCCTTGCTGGCATGAGCTTGAGGCTCTGCTTGTTGGGGAGCAGGGGGTTGATGGCTCACCAGGAGGAGAGACTGGTCTCCTCTCCATATGGTGACTGTGGCATGCTGTAAGCTTGGGTGTAGCCCTCAGGTCTTTGTTTCTTCCCCAGAACAAGGGCAGCAGGGATAGAGCCACTGCTGTGGCAGTGGCAGAAGTGCTGTCAGATGCTTCTGGGAGCCTCTTCCCAGGGAAACTCTGGGCCACTACCAGTAGTTTATGCTCAGCTGTGGGTGGGGTGACTGTTCTTTGGTCATGAACTGGGAGCTCTGCCTGGTAAAGAGTGGGGTTTGGGAGTTCCCAGCAAAGAATGGCTAGGCACCTCTCTGTATGGTGGCCTTGATGTGCTGGAGGTGCCAATGTAGTGACTAGGCCCTTTGTTCTTTTCCCAGCCCAAGGGCTATTAGGATGGTACCACTGCAACTACAGTGGTGCAGGGGTTGCAAGCTGACTGTGGGATTTCATCCTCAAACAAATGCTGGGCTGCCTCTGATTGAAGTGGTCAGGTGGGGGTAGGGTGGTTGTACTGGAGTCCCAGGTTGGTTGGCCCTGCCCAGGAAGAAGCGAGGAC